>NC_000001.11:247396242-247547757 GCF_000001405.40 Homo sapiens
TGGCATGTGCCTGTAGTCCCAGCTACTCAGGGGGCTGAGGTGGGAGAATTGCTTGAGCCTCGGAGGTCGAGGTTGCAGCGAGCTGTGATGTTGCAGCGAGCTGTGATCGTGCCGCTACACTCCAGCCTGGGCGACAGAGTGAGACCCTGTCTCAAAAAAAAAAAAAATAGAAAGGAAGGAAGGAAGGAGAAAGAAAGAAAGAAAGAAAGAAAGAAAGAAAGAAAGAAAGAAAGAAAGAAAGAAAGAAAGAGTCTTGTAATGTGCTTAGTAATGTAGTTGTTAGAGATGCTGGCACGAGTTCTCATCTTGTCACGAACAGGTTAAAAAGCAGTTCCCAGGCTGGCCCTTGCCTGGGAACCACACCAGATAGCAGATTGTCCCAGTTTTGAGATATCACATACAGTATTTCAATGAACATCTTTGTATACATACATATTTTCTGTATTAATTACAAATATATCTGTAGGATAAATTCTTAGACATAGAAACACTAGTTCAGTGGATACATTTATTAACAATACTGATGGCTCTTGGTCAAATGGAGAAAATAGTCATGGCAGCATACATTACATTCTGAATGTACAATGCTGCAAAATTTCCTCATCTTGCCAACATTGTGTTTTACCAAATCTCTTTTTAATTAATTAATTAATTTATTTAGAGACGGAGTCTCGCTCTGTCGCCCAGGCTGGAGTGCAGTGGCGTGATCTCGGCTCCCTGCAAGCTCTTTCTCCTGGGTTCATGCCATTCTCCTGCCTCAGTCTCCCGAGTAGCTGGGATTACAGGTGCCCGCCACCATGCCCAGGTAATTTTTTTCTGTATTTTTAGTAGAGACGGGGTTTCACCGTGTTAGCCAGGATGGTCTTGATCTCCTGACCTCGTGATCCGCCCGCCTCGGCCTCCCAAAGTGCTGGGATTGCAGGCGTGAACCACTGCGTCTGGCCCCAAATCTCTTAATCTTTATTTTTTGAAATGCTAATAGATGATTATTATTTTTTGGAGATGGGGCCTCGCTGTGTTGCCTGGGCTGGCCTTGAACTGCTGGGTTCAAGTGATCCTCCTGCTTTAACCTCCTGAGTAGCTGAGATGACAGGCAGTCCCCACCATGCCTGGCTGATTTCTTGTTTTAATTTCTATGTATTTAATTATCAGTATATCAAGCATATTTTAAAGACATTTTATAAGTCCTTTGTGTATTTTTCTTTTCTGTGAACTGCAGGTTTACACTTTTTTTTTCTTTTTTGTGGAGAAAGGGGTCTCACTATATTGCCCAGGTAGGTCTCGAATTCCTGGGCTTAAGCTATTTGTCTGCCTCTACCTCCCTAAGAGCTGGAATTCCAGGCATAAGCCACCACAGTCGGCGAACTGCGTGTTTTAGTCATTTGCCCATTTTGCTTTCTAACAGAATATTAATCTTTATTGAGTTGACCTGTACAAATCCTTTTAGACATATGTAACTGGCCATTGAACTGATCTGTACAAACCTTTTAGATATATATAATACTGGCCTGTTGCTGCTAATAACATACTTCCAATTGGACTTTTTATTGCCTTGAAAAATGCCTAATTTTACGTAGGTACCAGTATCTTATGGATTCTGCATTTCATATCTTAATTTAACAGGCATTTACCAATCCGATATTATGAATATAATCTTCCATTGCTTACTCCCACCAACAGTACACAGTTTATTCTTAACAGTGTAGAGGTTAAGGGCATCGACAGCCCCAAACACACACACAGAGGGGAAAAGCTACATGTAAATTCCAACTCCCCCAAAACTTTACTAATACCTTATGGTTGACAGGAAGACTTACCAATAACACAAGCAGCTGATTAACACATATTTTCAATGTCATACATATTATATACTATATTCTTACAATAAAGTAAGCTAGAGACTAGAAAATGTTATTAAGAAAATCATAAGGAAGATAAAATACATTTATTATTCATTAAATGGAAGTAGGTTGATCATCATAAAGGTCTTTATTCTCATCATCTTCACACTGAGTAAGCTGAGCAAGAGGAGGAGAGGTTGGTCTTGCTATCTCAGGAATGGCAGAGGCAGAAGAAAATCCACATATAAGTGCACCTGCACAGTTCAAATCCATGTTGTTCAAGGGTCCACCGTAGGTACTAAATTTTTCACTCTATATGACAACAAATTTTATGGAGTGGAAGAAATTACTCTACCTATAGTGTGTGCAGAGGGAGATGAGATTAAGATACTACCTGTTGTATGAGCAGAGGGAGATGAGATTAAGATACTATCTGTAGTATGAGCAGAGGGAGATGAGATTAAGATACTACCTATAGTGTGTGCAGAGGGAGATGAGATTAAGATACTACCTGTAGTATGAGCAGAGGGAGATGAGATTAAGATACTACCTGTAGGGTGTGCAGAGGGAGATGAGATTAAGATACTACCTGTAGTATGTGCAGAGGGAGATGAGATTAAGATACTACCTGTAGTATGTGCAGAGGGAGATGAGATTAAGATACTACCTATAGTGTGAGCAGAGGGAGATGAGATTAAGATATTACCTGTAGTATGAACAGAGGGAGATGAGATTAAGATATTACCTATAGAGTGTGCAGAGGGAGATGAGATTAAGATACTACCTGTAGTGTGTGCAGAGGGAGATGAAATTAAGAAGCCAGCGTAGGTACAAAAGGGATTAAAATTCAACCTGCCTGGCTTTGCCTGGTGGCTCACACCTGTAAGCCTAGCACTTTGGGGTGCCAAAATGGATGAATCTCTTGATTCGAGGAGTTTAAGACCAGATTGGGCAACATGGCGAAACCGTCTCTACAAAACAAACAAAGAAACAAACAAGCAAACAAAAAAAAACACACAAAAATTTAGCCGGGTGTGGTGGCGCATGCTTGTAGTCCCAGCTACTCTGGAGGCTGAGGTGGGAAGATCACCTAATCTGGGAGGTCAAGGCTCCAGTGAGCTGTGATTGCACCACTGCACTCCAACCTGGGTAACAGCGAGACTCAAAAAAAAAAAAATAAAAGTCGACCTGCCTGACCATAGGACATCAGCAGACAGAGGCCAATTGCTAAAGAAGGTTAATAGCTTCCTCTCCAGAGAACCTGGGTGTATCCAGAGAAAATACCTCCTTATCCTGACATTTGGAGCATCCCCAATAAAATGGATAGTTTCATGCCCAGCTCTGAAAGAGAAGCTCCCCACTTCAGGTTGTAAGCTTCATCTATGTTCTCAGAGCTTTAATCCGTTATTTTAGTGCCTCACTGTTAAATTAACAGGTAAGGATCTAGAGATATTTAAGGAAAATGTGCAAGAGACGAGAAAATAAAGGTGAGAAAACATAATGCAATGGACAAATGAAACCAAAAGAAAAAAGCTAACAGTATACTTAAAGAGATAGATAAGCAACAGCAGGATTCTATAAAGTAAGAGTAGTCTGAAAACTAGAACTCTTGGAAGTTGAAATTATGAACCAAAATTAATAAGAAAATAGTAGAGCTGGAAATTAAAGTAAATAGAATCTGTCAGAAGATAGATCCAAATGATGAACAGACAAAAGAGCCTGGGTGGATCAAGGCAGGGAGATTTTTTATTTTATTTTATTATTATTTTTTTGAGACGCAGTCTTGCTCTGTCGCCCAGGCTGGAGTGCAGTGGCGCGATCTCGGCTCACTGCAACCTCCACCTCCCAGGTTCATGCCATTCTCCTGCCTCAGCCTCCTGAGTAGCTGGGACTACAGGCGCCCGCCACCACACCCAGCTAATTTTTTTGTAGTTTTAGTAGAGACAGGGTTTCACCGTGTTGGCCAGGATGGTCTCGATCTCCTGACCTCGTGATCCGCCCGCCTCGGCCTCCCAAAGTGCTGGGATTACAGGTGTCTCCGGCCAAGGCAGGGAGATTTTTAAAAGTCAATTATTAGGATTTAAAGGAAGAGAGGGAGGAGAAAACAGAGGAGAGGAAATTATCAAAGAAATCATGGGGAAGACTTTCTTAGAACTGGTGATATCTGATCTCAGATTGAAATGCCTCCTTAAGTGTCAGTACATAAAAGAAACACGTGGCTCTGAAATTCTAGAACCAAGGAAGAAATGACCGTGTAAGCATCCAGAGAAGAGAAGAAAACTAACAAAGAAAAAACATCACCAAAAACAACAAGAATAGGAATGGCATTGTGTTTCTCAAAAGCGACATTAGGTGCCAGAAGAAAAAGGAGCAACGCTTTCAAAATTTTAAGAAAAAAGTATTGTTGTCAGGCATGGTGGCTCACTCCTGTAATCCCAGCACTTTGGGAGGCCGAGGCAGGAGGATCTCTTGAGCCCAGGCATTTGAGACCAGCCTGGGCAATATAGGGAGACCTCATCTCTACAAAAAAAAAAAAAAAAAAAAAAAAAGAAAAAAGTATTGTCAACCTAAATTTTTCAACCTAGATAAACTATTATCAAGTGTGAGAACAAAGCATCAACACTGGCCAGCCTGAAGGGCTCAGAACATTTGCCTGATGATGCCTTTTTCAGGAAGCTCGTGGGAGATGTGCTTCAGCAAGACAAGAGAGCAAATGAAGAAAGACAAAGGTACAGAGTCCAGGAAATCTTGGCTCCAACTAAGGCGAGGGGCAAGGAGAAGCTTCAGAAGAGTGACCTCTAGAGGAACCAGTGCAGAATGTGTGGGGGGATTGAGTGCCCCGAGGGTGGTCTGGAGGGAGACCCTCATAGAATTGATGGCTTGATAGACTGTGTCATGGTGTATCCAGACATAACAAGAAAATGCAGGCAATTATGAAAAAGAAGGATTTATTAACTCATGAAAAAATAAGACAGTGGGAGAAAAAATCTTAGTTCAATACTTGGCTTTGCACTGAGGAACATTAACGTGATAAATTTGTAAACATTGAATGGTTTAATGTAAAATCGTAATTATGTTGGGGAAATGGGTGGAAGGGAGTTGAAGGGTAGGTGTAAAATAACTGCATCTGCAATGGTCTTATCAGTTAGTAAATGATGTCTAAAATGGAAAAATCAAGAAATAGCAGTATAAGCCAATTTAAGTGTAAAGGGATAAGCAGCAACCCCTCCCACTGCTGCTGAATGTGCTAAAAGCAGGTGCTTCTGAGCGTGGGATGGGGTGGAGGGGGCAGGTGTTTGTTTAGGATTTTCAGTTGGCTGCATATGACAAAAAAGCACACAGTACAGTGACTTATGCAAGGCTATTGTTGTTCGCTGTCGAGAGAAAGGGCATCAGCTCATGAGGTCACCGCAGTTCCAGACTCTCGCTGTTCTTGCGCAGTCGTTGATAGTGTGTGGCTTTTGTCCTCATAGGTTCACGATGCCTTTTGTACCCCCAGGTTCTGCAGTAGATGAGGAAGGACAAAGTCTACAAGGTACATTCCAAGGAAGTCTTCCTCTTTTATAGGACCTTTAAAACTAATAGTTTTATTGATATGAGTCACTCTTCATTTCCTCCCAAATCCCCAGCCCTAGGCAAGCATTAACATCCTTTTTCTCTGTAAGATTTGTCTTTCATGGACATTTAATATAAATGGGACCTTACAGTATGTGGTCTTTTGCAAGCACCTTCTTTCATGTCATATGTGTTTAAGGCTCATCCATGTAATTGGATATATGAGTAATTGTTTACTGTTTATTGCCAAGTAATATGCCACTGTATGGATATGCCACACAATGAATATGCCGCATTTTATGTATCCCTTTGGATGTTTGGATGGTTTCCACTTTTTTGCTTTTATGAATAATGCTGATGTTAGCATCCGTGTGGAAGTTCCTGGCATGGAAGCTCCACCCAGGGGCTGGGGCAAAAGGCCCTTGGGGTTTGAATGTTCTCAGCTTGCCATGCTTAGGGCAAAGCCAGGAATTTACCCTCTGTAACTCAGAGTTGGAGGGGATGAGGAATACTGGCAGCTTCTGATGAGATGGAGAGGTGAAGGTAGAGGGGCCCCAACTTCTTGGCCACACTCACCCAGAGTGGAGCTTCCGTCATGCTGAGAAGAGTGGGCGGGGTCAGGTTCAAGGGTAAGACTCTCACAGTTCTTACAGAGGAATTTCGTAGATTTTACGCAATAATGATTTCTTCATTTGTTGCCTGCCGTTTCGACAATTTTCAGGTAAATTAAATGGTTGTTATTTTTACAATTATCATGAGTTAGGATTTTTTTTTTCTTGGAATGGGTACACTGAGCTCCTCACACTGCCTTTCTGGAAGTGGAACTCTGTCAGAGGTTCCTTAAAAAAGTGACTCAATGGCTTCTGCCAGTATCTCTCTGGCCAGCTTTATGACAGATGGCCACTCCTGTCTGCAAAGAAGGCTTGGATATGAGCAGTTTAATTAGACACATAAGCACCCCAAGTAGGGATAGTGGAAAATGGAGTTTAACTAGCATATTGCCCACAGAAAGGCTGAGTGCTTAGCGGTTTTTAAAAAGCATGTGCATCCATTAGTTTGATAAAAGTTAATTGTAAAATGTGAAAAAAAAATCAGTGCCCACCAACATCATTTTTCAATATCTTCTCCTTTGATTACATAATTGGCTTAAGCTTATACTCTAACGGGGTTGTTTTTTTATTTTTCTTTTCCAAAAAGTAGTCATGAGAATGGTATTTTAAAAGTTCTTATCTGTTTTAAAAATAGCTTTATCATGAGCTTTGGCTTGAATGAATGTTGACTGCATGTTTAAGTCAAACTTTGCTTTAAGATTTCAAGCAGGCCTGGTGCAGTGGCTCACACCTGTAATAACAGTGCTTTGGGAGATCCAGGCAGGTGGATCACTTGAGCCCAGGAGTTCAAAACCAGCCTGGCCACCATGGGGAAACTCTGTCTCTACTAAAAATACAGAAAATAGCCAGGCATGGTTGTGCACACCTGTAGTCTTAGCTACTTGGGAGGCTGAGGCAGGAGAATTGCTTGAGCCAGGGAGGTGGAGGTTGCAGTGAACCGAGATCATGCCATTGTACTCCAGCCTGGGCAACAGAGTGAGACTCTGTCTCAAAAAACAAACAAAAACATTTCTATCAAATGACGTTAAGTAGAAATCTGTGGGTGGCTTGATTGTTCTCATTTATAGATGCCTTGATTTGCCGATTTTTGCCCACAGAATTATTTCTCAGTCTTTGAAATATATTCCCAAATGTGGCACATCCTGAATCAGTTCTTGAATCACATTGTGACTTTTAATTTATTTTTAATTTTATTTAAACTAAAAAAAATCTATTTAGTGGGTACAAGTGCAGGTTTCTGAAAAGCATGTGTCGTGTAGTGGGGAAGTCGGGGTTCTTAGTGCACCTGTCACCCAATAGTGAACCTCGTACCCAACAGGTAATTCTTCAACCTCCACCTCCCCACCCTTCTACTTTTTGTGTCTCAATATCTATTCCTCCACTCTGCGTGTCCTTGTGTACACATGGTTTAGCCTCCACTTATACGTGGGAACACGCAGTATTTGACTTTCTGTTTCTAAGTTATTTCAGTCAGGATAATGCCCATCAGTTCCATCCATGTTGCTGCAAAAGACATGATTTCATTCTTTTTTATGACATTGTGCCATTTTATTTGGTAGACTGAAGCATACCTTAATTTAAGGAAGGTTTTTTGTCTTCTGCTTTGTTTGTTTGCTTGTTTTTTGAGACAGGGTCTCACTCTTGTTGCCCAGGGTGCAGTGGAGGTTGCTCACTGCAGCCTTGACCTCCTGAACTCAAAGGATCCTCCTGCCTCAAGCTCCCGAGTAGCTGGGACTATAGGCATGTGCCACCACACTTGGCTAAATGTAATTTTTTGTAGAGATGGGGTCTCACTATGTTGCCCAGGCTAGTCTTGAACTCCTGGGCTCAAGTGATCCGTCTGCCTTGGCTTCTCGAAATGTTGGGATTACAGGTGTGAGCCACTGTGTGTGGCTGGAGAGTTTTTTTCAAGTTCTTGACATTTATTCTCTTGCATTTATTCTTGTCTTTTTTGTTTGTTTGTTTTTTGAGACTGAGTCTCGCTCTGTCACTGAGGCTGGAGTCCAATGGTGCGATCTCAGCTCACTGCAAGCTCTGCCTCCTGTGTTCAAGTGCTTCTCCTGCCTCAAGCCTCCTGAGTAGCTGGGACCACATGCACATTCCACCATGCCTGGCTAACTTTTGTATTTTCAGTAGAGACGGGGGTTTTGCCATGTTGGCCAGGCCATGTTTGCCATGTTGCCACTCCTGGCCTGAAGTGATCTGCCTGCCTTGGCCTCCTAAAGTGCTAGGATTACGGGTATCAGCCACCGCGCCTGGCCTATTCTTGTCTTTGACTTATACATCTTTAATTTGGCTTTAAAATGCTCTTAAACATTTTGTCCTTTGCTCTCTCTTTTGCTCTGTTTCTCAATCATGTTCTCCACCACACTGAATGACGACGGAGTGGAGTCTGTTTTTCTTTTGTGCTGCTTTTATTGTGATCTTCATTTCTGGAGACTCTCTCCCTTTCTTTTTATCTGAGTTTGTCGCTCCATCATTTCATCTCCTTTGCATCAGATTGCCTGTGTCGTCCAACCCTTATGTTTCTTTTTCAGACCCTTACATGTGATAGACAAGACATTCTGTAAATTCTTTCATCTCACAGAGAACTAGTTCTTCCCAATTGTATTAGTTTTCTATGTCTGCCATAAGAAATTTCTACAAACTTACTGTCTGAAAAACCACAAAAGTTATAATCTTACAGTTCTGCAGGTCTGAAGTAAAATATGGGCCTCACTGGGCTAAAATCATGGCACTGGCAGGGCTGCGTTCCTCTCTGGGTTTCAGGGGAGATTCTGTTCCCCTGCGTTTCCTGCTTCCAGAGGCTTCCCTTATTCCTTAGCTCGTGGCCCTTTTCATCTGAGTCCTTCACACGTCACATCCCTCTGACCCTCCTTTTACCTTCCTCTTTCCCTTGTAAAGACCCTTATATTCGGGTCCATAGATTAGGCTCACCTGGATGGTCCGGGATACTCTCCCTACCTTCAGGTCAGCTGATTAACGAACTTAATTCCATCTGCTGCCTTAACTCTCCTTAGCTGTGTGTCTTCATCTGTTTTATGTGGCTATCACAGAATGGCACAGCCAGGGTTATTTATAATGAACAGAAATGTATTTGGCTCATCATTCGGGAGGTCTGGGAGACTGAGCGCACAGTGAGCAAAGTGCCGGCATCTGGTGAGTGGCTTCATGCTGTGTCATCCCATGACAGAAGGCAGAAGGGGCAGAGAGGGCAAGAGTAAAAGCAAGAGAGGCTGAACTTGCTTGTTTTTGTTTTGGTTGTTGTTGTTTTAAGAGACAGGGTCTCTCTCTATCATCCAGGCTGGAGTGCCGTGGCACAATCACAGATCACTGTAGCCTGGAACTCCCAGGCTCAAGTGATCCTCCCACTTTGGTCTCCCACATAGCTGGGATGATAGGTGTGCACCAGGCTGGTCTCGAACTCCTGGCCTCAAGTGATCCTCCTGCCTCAGCCTCCCAAAGTGGTAGGATTAGAGGCATGAGCCACTGCTTTTATAACAGAACTATTCTTGTAATAATGAACCCATTCCCTGGATAATGACATTAATTCATTAATAAGCGCAGTGTCCTCGTGAGCTAATCACATCTTATGAGGCCCTCACCTTCCAACACCATTGCCTTGGTGATGAGGCTTCCAGCACATGACTTTGTGGGGGGCGCATTCAAACCAGAGCACCATGTCACATCATGAGAGCGCCATGTCACATCATGGAGTGCCACGCCACATCATAAGAGCACCGTGCCAAGTCATGAGAGCACCACGCCACGTCATGAGAGCGTCACGCCATGTCATGAGAGCACTGCGTCCCTTCATGGAGCGCCACACCACGTCATGAGAGCGCCACGTTACATCATGAGAGCGCCACGTTACATCATGAGAGTGCCACGTCACATCATGAGAGCGCCACGTGACATCATGAGAGCGCCACATCCCTTCATGGAGTGCCACACCACGTCATGAGAGCACCATGTCACGTCATGAGAGCGCCACGTCACATCATGAGAGCACTGTGTCACTTCATGGAGCACCGTGCCACATCATTAGAGCACCGCGTTACGTCATGAGAATGCCACACCACATCATGAGTGTGTCGCATCATGTCATGAGAGCACCACGTCACATCATGAGAGCACCATGTCACGTCATGAGAGCGCTGCGTCACGTCATGAGAGCGCCATGTCACATCATGAGAGCGCCACGTCACATCATGAGAGCGCCACGTCACATCATGAGAGCGCCATGTCACGTCATGAGAGCACCATGTCACATCATGAGAGCACCACGCTACATCATGAGAGCACCACGTCACATCATGAGAGTGCCACGTCACATCAAGTACTTATGGTTTACAGGGGTTAGGCTATGGGCATCTTTGGGAGCCGTTATTGTGCCTGCTTTGTGGTATACCGTCATCACTCAGTGTTCTCCATTATCTTTCTGTCTGCCATATGCCTTTCCTCTTTTTGTTTTCTTCTCTGACATTATCTTTAATATTTTCCGTGATGGTTCTTTTAAAAAAATTGGTCACTGTTCTTGAAATAATGGAATTTTTCCTGGAGTAGCGCTGTTTTGGAGAGTAGTTGGGAGAAGGCCTAGCAAATATCCCCAAGGAGTCTGTGGATATCATTCAGGGGAGATCTGTGAGTTTGGATGGGAAGAATGTTCTCTTCTTTATTTTCTCTAATGAATGTGAGTGACACAGCCCATTAGTATCAGTAGGTCCTATACATTTTTCACATTAGAAATTAGATACCTTCATATTGTTACAGTTTTGCTGAAACGTCAGTTGCTGTCACCACTACTTTCAAATTATGCCAGTTATTAGGCCCGCTGCTAGATATGATTAATTGGTGCATAAATATTACAAACTTTAAAAATGTTTTACCATTCTCTTTGTCATCTCTGTGTTTTATTTCATGCACTCGAAGTCCTTGTTCTGATAAAGGATGTATCCGCGTCACCAGTCATCAGAGTGACAGCGAGGTTCGGGCACTGGAACAGTGCCAGGCCGAGGCCTGGGGACGTGCTGGCAGGGCAGGCAGCGTGAGTCCTGCCTCCTGCTTTCATCCTGTGCTCTCTGCTCCTCTTTGTGGGGTGTGGTCCTCTCCAGACTAACAGGAAGTCTCCTTGACTCACACCAAAACCTACATGTCACAGATTTGGGGTGATTTCACTTGCACTTCTCAGTGACTGGTGTCAGCATGGCTGAGGCTGGTCTTGACCTGCAGTTTCTCCCACACTGGGAACAGACAACCATTTGCTCTGGCAGATGCTCGTCCGTGTTTCCTCCCCACTTCCTGCTGTTGCTCACAGTGTCCAAAGAGGTTTTGGGGTTTGCCCGTGGACTTGACCTTGTGGTTCCAAAGAGAGCGGGGCTCAGGGTTGATGACTCCACTAGTTTGTGCTTCAGCCCTGGGAAAACCTTGATTCTCTTTGCCACCCCCAAGGTCTACAGAGGGTCTCCCTCATCCTGGCCCTCCTCTTCCCAGTCCCAGGTGCCAAGCACCTGGGGGTCAGTCCCCCACTGAGTGGTGTCTTCATAGAAGTGGAGATTCCTTTTCTGTTTCTCTTTCTTGTTGTTCGTAGTTGATTTTAGAAATGACACGGGGGCTAGAGCTTTCCCCCTGCCCTCTTTATCAGGAACTCTTTTTAGCTTTTTCTGTAACTTTTTAACAAATTGCTGATGTTATTTGCAAAAAACAGATGATACAGAATTGTGTGAAGCAGAAACTTCTTCTCCCAACTCAGTCACCTCTTTTCAGGGTGACCTCGGAGGCAAAAGTGGTATGTATTTTCCATTCTTTTCTCTATGCTTATAAATATATTTCAAGAATTCAGTCCATTTATTATTTATATTGGTATATCTGGTAAAGCGAAATACAGTTTCTTACTTTTAATAATCATATTGTTGCACAACCAATCTCCAGAATGCTTTCATCTTGCAAAAGTGAAACTCTGTACTCATGAAGCACTCATTCCCCATTCCTCTCTCCCCAATCCCCCCACCCTCTGTTTTTTTTTGTCCCTGGTTCTATTTTTTGTTTCTGTGAATTTGGTTACTGTAGAAACTTCCTATACATAGAATCGTACAGTGTGTGTCCCTTGGTGACTGGCCTGTCGCACTCAGCAAATGTCCTCAGGGTTTGTCCATGTTGCAGTGTGTGTCAGAATTTCCTTTCTCTTTAGACTATTCCGTGGTGTGTGTATAGCCCTTGTTGTTTTTCCATTCATCTGTTGCGGGAGACTGGGGTTGTCTCTACCTTTTGGCTCTTGGGCATAGCCACCTGTTATGGACAAGGAGCACTAAAATCACCGTTTTTGTTTTTTTTTTTTTTTCCTGCAGATAACTGACTGCTCTCAAATGTCCCTTATCTCTGATGAAGGAACTTGATTGTTTATTTTTTGATTATTTATTTGTTTAAAGGCAAGGTTGAAAGTCAGGTGCTGTGAATTCCAATTCCTCGAGTTTCCGGTGGGCGATATAAATGAGAGGTGTGGACGGAAAGTAGGAGGTAGTAGGGAGTGGTGAGGACTGTGGAAAACCTGAGTCCATGCTCAGTGGGGGCAGCCTGCACAAGCTCCTGGTGCCACGTTTGTTGAAGGGATGGTGGTTGACTTAGTTCTAGAATTCTAAGTTTTAAACAGAAACCTGAAATCTGACTAGTTTATGTAAAAGCCCTGATTTTACATCTTGGCAACAAACTTAGAAATGTAAGTATACTGTGAGACTGAGATTTTGTGTCTATACCTCACAATAAAGATGAATCAACTAAAAATGTATTCAAAAGAAGACAATATTTTTTAAAAGCACCGAAAATTGTGAAAAAGAAAAAAATGTAGGTGGGATTGAATTTATTCCCTCATATATGAAACTGTTTATATTTCAGCAATGAAATAAAATATAAGTGACTCAGTCACTGGTTTTTAGTCAAGCCATGTATGCCTCACAAAAATCATACTATTGGCTGGGCGTGGTGGCTCGCGCCTGTAATCCCAGCACTTTGGGAGGCCGAGGTGCGTGGATCACCTGAGGTCAGGAGTTGGAGACCAGCCTGACCAATATGGTGAAACCCCATCTCTACTAAAAATACAAAAATTAGCCGGGCGTGGTGGTGGGTGCCTGTAGTCCCAGCTACTCGGGAGGCTGAGGCAGGAGAATTGCTTGAATGCGGGAGGCAGAAATTACAGTGAGCCGAGATTGCGCCACTGCACTCCAGCATGGGCAATAGAGTGGACTCCGTCTCAAGTAAACAAACAAACAAATGAACAAAAAACAAAATCATACTATCTATTACTTTTGTAATGAAGAATACTTACCTGTTTTCCTTCTCTTTGTGAGTTTGCAATAAAGTCCTCTCGATTTGCTTTAACTTGGCATGTGTCTTTCAGAGATATTGGAGAGCACTGGGAGGCATTCCTTAAAGGTAGATGAGGCAAAGAACCAAGACAAGGGGCTCTGGCTCTAACACTCTTGGTGGGTTCTAGAGATCAGATTATGAACACAGGAAAAGGAGAAGATAAATGGGATGAAGAAGCCAATTCCAACATATTACATAGCATGCTTATATGAAGGACTTGGCTTTCGTAAAGTAAGAACTGACAGCTTTTTTCTTGATGGCCATCCACTTTTTAGTCTGTGTCTCAGAAAGTGTAGAGGTCGAGGAATCGGGGGCCCCTGGGACTCTTGGGTCATAGACACATTAGGAAAACCCACCTCAGCTGGGGAAGCTGACTCAGCGCCAGCACTCCAGGCCCCAGAGGAGCAGTCACCCCTGGAAAGAGGGAAGAGCAGCAGCAGCAACGGAAGGTCACGTCTCCTCACAAGAACTCACAAAGTCTCGCTAATGTTATGACTGTACTTTCTGAAACCCAATTTGTCTTTGTTCATACCTTTTCCCTTCCTGCTAGTCACATTTTTTCTGGTGAGAGAAAGTGAAATTGCCATTTTTAATATCAGCCAGTCACTTTCAGTTTGAAATGCAGTCTGTTTCTTGGTAACCTCAGATACTTTGGCACTCCCCACCTCCGATCTCTTCTGTTCTCTCTAGTAGGGGAGGATGTCTGGCTTCTGGGCTGATCTCTGCCTTTGCTGAGCACCCCTGAGATCATCCCACTTGGGCTTGTGTCTTAGTCCGTTTGTACTAACAAAACACCTGAGACTGGGTAATTTCTAAGGAGCAGAAATTTATTTCTTAGAGCTCTGGAGGCCGTGAGGTCCAGGATCAAGGCGCTGGCCTTGGTGCCCGGTGAGAAGTGCTCTCTGCTTCCAAGATGGTGCCTTGTTGCCATGTCCTCACATGGCCCATGGCAGATAGGCAAGAGAGAGCACCCCCTTGAACCCGGAGCCCTTTTACAAGTGTGTGAATCCCATTCATCACCCCACAAACTCAATCACCCCACAAACACCACACCCCTGAATACTATTGTATTGGGGGATTAAGTTCTTTTTAAATTTTTATTTATTTGCGTATTTTTATTTATTTATTTATTTGGAGACAGGATTTGGCTCTGTCACCCAGGCTGAAGTGCAGTGACACAATCTCAGTTCACTGCAAGCCTTGACTTCCTGGGTTCAGAAGATCCTCCCACCTCAGCCTCCCCAGTAGCTGGGGACCACAGGTGATTTCAACTTGAAATCATTCATGCAATTTTAGTTTGGAATTCAGTGCTGTGAGTTCCAGTCCACTTAAGTGAGCTTTGGGTATTTAATGGAAGCAATTATTTTTCTTAAATGTACAAGAGTAAATTATTATTATTTTTTTTTGCATGAATGATGTATGGAAAATCACCGCGTTTTACTTTTGTGAGTTGACTTATTTATTTGTGTTGATTTTGATATTCCCAAATCTGAAACAAAATTTTTTCAGAATGCATAATAACACACAGAGTATGGTGGTCTTTCATTGACAAGTTTTTATGTATGATTAGAGTATCTTTTCAAGATTCATAATCTGCATTTTTTTAATATAGGGTCTCACTCTGTCACCCAGGCTGGAGTGCAGTGGCACAGTCCTAGCTCACTGCAGCCTCAATTTCCTGGGCTCAAGCGATCCTCCCACCTCAGCGTCCTGAGTAGCTGGTACTACAGGCATGCACCACCACATCCGTCTATTTTTTAATTTTTTGTGGAGATGGGGTCTCACTATGTTGCCCAGGCTGCTCTTGGCCTCCTGGCTTCAAGTGATCCTCCTGCCTCAAACCTCCCAAAGCGTTGGGATTACAGGTGTGAGCCACTGAAACTGGCCTGACCTACAATTTGAATACTACTGTACAGTTTACATTTTGCTGTCAGGTATTATTTTATTTATTTTTTCCTCTCTACAATAATGTATTATAGATCAGGTCTTGTTTTATTTGAGCCTCACAGGAAAGCTGAGGTGAGGGTCGCAGGCAAGGAGTCGGACCACAGGAGTGGTCGCAGCATTCAGCGGAGAGTGAAGCAGCGAAGGCTGGAAACCTCATCTGCTTCTCGTGAACTTCCCACTGCCCCAAGTGACTGATGTCCTTACACAATTGCAGCCAGTTCGCCAGCTGCATGAGTGACAGTGGCATAATTGACGATTGCCAAAAACGGAAACAGCCCAACTGTCCTTTGCCTAGGGAATAGAAAACCAAATTGTGGCCTATCCAACCCATGAAATACTTAACTGCAGTAAAAAGGAATAAGCTACTGATCTGAATCTCACAGGCATCATATGAAGTGAGCGGACTCGCTCACCAAAGGCTGCACACTGTTTATGTGATGCTCTGGAAAAGGTAATGCTTTAGCAGGTGGAAGAAGTGGGGCTGCGGGTGGGGACAGAGGCTGACTATGTGGCAGCACAGTGGGTGGGGACAGAGGCTGCACAGGGAGCATGTGCAGCTGATGCAGGTGCTCTGTGTGGGCTGTGGTGGTGGGTAGCTATATGCTTGTGAGCACTCACAGGCCTGTGCATGAAAAAGGTGCGAATATTTATTTTATTGTACATATTTCAGGTGTATAACATGGCAGTTTGATATACATAGTGAAATGATTGCTGCAGTCAAGCAAATTAACATGAGTTAACATAGCCACCATCTCACATAATAATCTTTCTTGTGGGTGGTAAAAACATCTAAAATCTCTCTTAGCAAATTTCAGGTTTATAATATTTTTAACTATCGTTCCCACACTGTTTGTTAGATCTCTCGGCTTATTTATCCTACATAACCGAAATTTCGTACCCTTTGACCGTCATTTTATTTCCTCTACCCCGGTAACTCTCTGTTTCTATATATTCAACTATTTTTTTTTGAGACAGGATCTCGGTCTGTCACTCAGGCTGGAGTGCAGTGGTGTGATCTCGGCTCACTGCAGCCTCGACCTCCCAGACTCAAGCAATCCTCCCACCTCAGCCTCCCAGCCTCTCAAGTAGCTGGGGTGACATGTGCACACCACTGCACCTGGCTTCCTTCCCTCCCTCCCTCCTTTCTTTTCTTTTTTTCATTTTTTTGGTAGAGGTGAAGCCTCACTATCTTGCCCAGGCTGGTCTCAAGCTCTTGGGCTCAAGTGATCCACTCACCTCAGCCTCCCAAAGTGCTGGGATTACAGGTGTGAGGCACCACTCCTGGCCTAACTTTTTTTTTTTTTTTTTTTAAGGTTCCACATATGAGTGAGATCATGTAGTGTTTGTCTTTCTGTGCCTGGCTTATTATGCTTTGTGTAAAGTCCACCGGGTTCATCTATGTTGTGGCAAATAGCAGAGTCTCAATTTTTAATACTAACTAAGATTGTATTGTGTATATATGCCCCAAACTCTTTATTTATTCATCTGTCAATAGACACTTGGGTTGTTTGCCTATCTGGACCATGGTGAATAATGCTGCTATGAACATGAGTGCACAGATGTCTTTGTGAGGTGGTGATTTTATTTCCTTTGGATACACACTCAGAAGAAGGATTGCTGGGTCATACGGTAGTTCTATTTTTAATTTCTTTAGGAACCTCCATATTGTTTTCTGCAATGGCTGCACCAATCTGCATTCCCAGCAGCAATGTGCAAGGGTTCCCTGTTCTTCACGCCCTAGCCAATGTTTGTCTCTTGTCATTTTGCTAATAGCCATCCTAACAGGTTTGAGGTGGTACCTCATTGTGGGTTTGGTTTGCATTTCCCTGATGATTAGTGATGTTGAGCACTTTTTTGTATACATGTTGACCATTTTTGTTTCTTTTTTAGAGAAATGTCTATTCAGTTCCTTTCTTCATTTTAAAAATCAGATTATTTGTTTTATGCTTTGAGTTGTGTGAATTCCTTACATATTTTGCATATTAACTACTTATCTGATATATGGCTTAAAACTATTTTCTTCCAATTTGTTGGCTACCTTTTCACTCTGTTGATTGTTTCTTTTGCTATACAGGAGCTTTTTACTTTGATGTATTCCCACTTATTTATCTTTACTTTTGTTCCTTTGCTTTTGTTGAGACATTAAAAATATCCATGCCAAGGCTAATATCAAGAAGTTTTCTCCTCTGTTTTCTATTTTTTATATTTAGTTTTTTATCTGTTTAGAGATTGGGTCTCATTCTGTTACCCAGGCTGGAATGCAGTAGTGTCATTATAGCTCACTGTAACCTCAAATTCCTGGGCTCAAGTGATCTTCTTGCCTCGGCCTCCTGAGTAGCTGGGCTACAGGTGCACAGCACCATGCCTGGCTAATTTTTTTTTTTTTAATTTTGTAGACACAAAGTCTCACTATGTTGCCCAGGCTGACTGTGAACTTCTGGCCTCAGGTGATCCTCCTGCCTCAGCCTCCCAGAGTGCTGG
Organism: Homo sapiens; assembly: GCF_000001405.40. Lineage (NCBI taxonomy): Eukaryota > Metazoa > Chordata > Mammalia > Primates > Hominidae > Homo > Homo sapiens. Next base: position 247,414,040 of record NC_000001.11, read on the forward strand.
GATTACAGGCATGAGCCACCATGCCTGGCTTCTTCTCTATTTTCTTCTAGGAGTTTTACAGTTTTAGATCTTATGTTTAGATCTTTAATCCATTTTGAGTTGGTTTTTGTGTGTGCCAAGTTTTATTCTTTTGCGTGTGGAAATCCAGTTTCACCAAAAGCTTAATTTTTCAAAATCTTATATTTTTCTTGATTTTTTTTTCACACTTCTATAGCCAACATCTTTATTGAAGAGATTGTCCTTTCTCCATTGTGTCTTCTTGGTGACCTTGTCAAAGAATTAGTTGACTGCATATACTTGAGTTTATTTCTGTTCCACTGGTCTATGGGTCTGTTTTTATAAAGGCATGGATTTTTACTGCATATGAATTATACCTAAATTTGTCTTTTTTTTTTCCTTTTTCTGGAGAATGGGGTCTCACTATATTGCCCAGGCAGGTCTCGAACTCCTGGGCTCAAGCTATCCTCCCGCCTCTTGCCTCCCTGAGAGCTGGGATTACAGGCGTGAGCCACTGCGCCCGGCTGAATTATACCTAAATTAACTTGACTAAACAAACAAAAACAAAAAGATCCCAGGTTCAGCCAATGAGCTCCTTTTTTTTTTTTTGAAATGGAGTCTTGCTCTTGTCACCCAGGCTGGAGTGCAGTGGCACAATCTCAGCTCACTGCAGCCTCCACCTCCCAGGTTCAAGTGATTCTCTTGCCTCAGCTTCCTGAGTAGCTGGGATTACAGGTGCCCGCCACCACACCCAGCTATTTTTTTTTATATTTTTAGTAGAGATGGGGTTTCGTCATGTTGGCCAGGCTGGTCTCAAACTCCTGACCTTGTGATCTGCCTGCCTTGGCCTCTCAAAGTGCTGGGATTACAGGCATGAGCCACTGCACCCAGGCTGAGCTCCTTTCTTTTGGAGCATATTTGGTCTGCTTTCTCTCTAGCTTCAGCACCTGAAGTTTTTGCTGCTCCTGCCTCAGCTCCAGCCCCGAATGACACCTTTCACCTGGTTCATGGAGACTCAGGTCTGCTGTCATGCCCCTAAGCAGGACTAGATGCCTCTCTCATGTTGTAGAGCATTCTCTCTGCAGTTCTGTAGAAAGGTGGTAGTCATCGGAACCAACTGCTTATTCTAGCTTCTCTGTGCCAGGCTCTGTTTTAAAGGCCTCACGTTTAGCCATTCACTCAGTGTTTTCTGACAGCCTTCTAGGATAGGTACCGTTATTTGGGTTGATGTAGTGCTTGGTCAAATGCAGTATAATGAAGGGATCAAGGAGGGGGCAATTCCAAGCAAAACCACTTGTTCATCCATCCTGAGTCTAGGAGATTTGGAAGATCTAAAGAAGTAGCAGGCAATTATTGTCACCCTTTTACAGGTATGAGGCACAGACAGACCCAGTCATTTGCTGACATCCCTCCACTGAACTGGGTGCTCGTCCTTTTCACTCACCCAGAGGCTGAGCGAGTGCCTCTCACCCACCAAGCTCTGTTGAACTTGTGCCTTTGCCGGTCTGTGGTCCTGCGGCCGTCTCATGAGCTGCAGAGTAGGTCTGTGTGTGTCTCTCCTCAAGCTACTCAAGCTGAGGCTTTGTGTGCATGCCTGCCACATACCAGCCATTCCGTGAGTGTTAGTGGAACAGGTGAGTCAATGAGTCAGGGAGTAAAATTTGTGCTTTAAAAGTAGAACATGTCGGAGAGAACCTGTACTGCCTTCCAGCCATCTTGCTGTGAGAGGACAGGGCATGGACTCTGGAGTTTGAAGGCTGGGTCAGGTCATGCTCTGGATTCTTTACTCACTCGCATGGCATGTCCTTAGTTTCACTTCCCTCACTCTCAGTGGAGCCGTTGCAGCGGGCAGTGTCAGAGGCAACATCCATTTAGCACTGCCGATTTGACCCCCAGCCCCATCTCATACTGGCCTCCCACCCTGCTTCTGTGGGGTGCCTCAGAGGAGAGCAAGGTGAACCCCAGTATGGAACCGAGACACGGTTTTGACAACACTGTTGATCCCATTTGGAAAATCCAGCTATGTGATTAACCATTAGTCTCTCTGCCTCTGCTCTGATGTAAGTGGAGACCACATCCTTCCTGCCCCTTCTGGGGCTGCGACTGCTATAAATTCATTGCATTTCCTCTCTAGCTGTTCCTGAGGCTGGCATCTGGGTAAGTCCAGCTCCGCGGGGCAGTGTGGGCGACAGGACCGGGAGAGCAGTGGGGGAGATTGTGTTCAGAGGGCAGAACTTGTCCTGGTTAATGCACTAGGAATTTCTTCTGGCGTCTCCAAGGTTGTGCTTCAACAACATTTCTGGAATGTTCTTTTATCATTATTTGGGCTCTACGTGTGCAAGTTCGTGTGTGTGTATGTGGCGGGGGGAAGCGGGGAGGACAGCGGCAGCAACCATAGTTTACACCCACGACTTCAGCAGATTTGCCCAGTATCCCTCCCAGGGGAGAAGATGGATGGGATATACAGAAGGAAACAAACCTCCTTAAAGACCAAAGGGCAGCAGATTTTTGTGCTGGTGTTAGGGTGGAAGGAGCACAGAAGAAAGGCAGAATCCTGATGCAGATGGAAGGACTGATGGGGCAGGAGCTGGGAGGGTATGCGGAGCTAATAGGGCTGTCTGGAGAGCAGTCACCTCAGGATGGGCAGGAGCTGGGAGGGTATGCGGAGCTAATAGGGCTGTCTGGAGAGCAGTCACCTCAGGATGCACAGGGCTGGGTTTGCAGGGCTCAGGAGGCGAGGAGTAGATAGGCAGGAATGGAGATGGGACGGGAGAGATGAGTGAGTCTGAGGCATCTTGACATTGAACTGCAGTCACAGAAATTCCAATTTGGAGAGCTCCACCGTTTTCCAGGCTCTCTGCCTCCCTTGAGTGTTATTTATGGCTTTAGGTTGAGGTGCTTTGCCAAATAGAGTATAATCAAGGGATCAAGGAGGGAACAATTCCAAACAAAGCCAACTTGTTCATCCATCCGGACTCTAGGAGATATGGAAGATCTAAAGATACAGCAGGTGATTGCTAGTTTTTGTGGAACTCACAGTCTAGTTGGGAAGACTATGTTGGTGAATGCTGCAGTGATACACCTGTGATAAATGCTGGGGAAGTGTGTCTTTTAGTCATCTATTTTGTTGTCTTTGTCTTTGTCTGACTGAAACAAGTGATGGAAGACATGGTCTCATATCTCTGGTCAAAATCCTGGCTCTGTTCCTTCCTGGTTCTAAACCCCTCGGCAGGCTTCCTAGTCCCCCTAAGACTCAGTTTATGCATCTATAAAATGGGGCTAGGAATAGGTGCACCTCATAGAGCTCTGTGCAGGTTAGATGGGGAAAAACATCAGTGAGTGCCTAGCCTGTGGAAAGCTCTAAATTAATGTGAATTATAATGATAACAATTGCGAATTTTGCAAGGAGACATTAAAGGATGTATGTTTTTATTTATTTTATTTTATTCTATTTTATTTTTTGAGATGGAGTTTTGCTCTTATTGCCCAGGCTGGAGTGCAGTGGTGTGATCTTGGCTCATCGCAACCTCCGCCTCCTGGGTTCAAGCGATTCTCCTGCCTCAGCCTCCCGAGTAGCTGGGATTACAGGTGCCTGGTACCATGCCCGGTTAATTTTTGTATTTTTAGTAGAGACGGGATTTCTCCCTGTTGTTTGGTGAGCCTGGTCTCCAACTCCTGACCTCAGGTGATCCGCCCACCTCGGCCTCCCAAAGTGCTGGGATTACAGGGATGTATGTTTTTATTATTCTCCATTATGCACTCCCAGCTTCATCTCACTTCAATCCACTGGTTGATAGAAGTGCAGTCAAAGACTGTCCCCTCCTCTGCAAGCTTTTATGTTCTCTCTCCTCTCTCCCTAGCCACGTCCTGTTCTGTTATCAACACACTTACTCACCTCCTGGCCTTCTCCTTCTATTGTCTCTCATCCCTCTTCCCTCACAAAAACAGAAGCAAAGAGCCAGAGCCTTCAGTTTGGAGGAACTGAAAACATTCTCTTCTGCTTTCTCATTTTGTAGATGAGGAAACTGAAGTTGAGGAATAGTGAAGAGTTTGTCCAATGTCATAGCCCCGTAATCAACGGGACAAAAATTTTCTTGCTGATGGGTCAAGATGGCATCGTGAAGTGGTTGTTCACCGTAAACTGTAATACAATCCTGTTTATGGATTTGTTTGCATATTTTTCCCTCCATAGGGAAACCTTTCTTCCATGGCTCAGGACACACTCCTGGATCGAGCCAACAGGAGAACTTTCTGGTAAGCATTTGGCTAACTTTTTTTTTTTTGAGATGGAGTCTTGCTGTGTCGCCTAGGCTGGAGTGCAGTGGCGTGATCTTGGCTCACTGCAGCCTCCACTTCCCGGGTTCAATCAATTCTCCTACCTCAACTTCCTGAGTAGCTGGGATTACAGGCGCCCGCCACCACACCCGGCTCATTTTTGTACTTTTAGTAGAGACACAGTTTTGCCATGTTGGCCAGGCTGGTCTTGAATTCCTCAGCTCAGGTGATCTGCCTGCCTTGGCCTCTCAAAGTGCTGGGATTACAGGCGTGAGCCACTGTGCCCGGCCTTGGCTAACTTTTCAAAATTAAAGATTTTGACTTGTTACAGTCATGTGACATTTTTTTCTTTCTGTTTGCTGAGTTTTTGATAATTTATATCTCTCAAAGTGGAGACTTTAAAAAAGACTCATCCGTGTGCCGTGTTCACTGCCTGGTATCTTAGTGTGGACCGAAGCCTAAGGACCCTGAAAACAGCTGCAGATGAAGATGGCAAGCACCCGCTGCAAGCTGGCCAGGTACCTGGAGGACCTGGAGGATGTGGACTTGAAGAAATTTAAGATGCACTTAGAGGACTATCCTCCCCAGAAGGGCTGCATCCCCCTCCCGAGGGGTCAGACAGAGAAGGCAGACCATGTGGATCTAGCCACGCTAATGATCGACTTCAATGGGGAGGAGAAGGCGTGGGCCATGGCCGTGTGGATCTTCGCTGCGATCAACAGGAGAGACCTTTATGAGAAAGCAAAAAGAGATGAGCCGAAGTGGGGTGAGTGGAAGGAAGACTTTTAAAAAAAATTGTGGCCAAGTGCACATAGTGTACAATTTTCCATCTTTATATATATATATATATATATTTTTTTTTGAGACGGAGTTGCTCTTGTTGCCCAGGCTGGAGTGCAATGGTGAGATCTTGGCTCACTGCAACCTCCACCTCCCGGGTTCAAGCGATTTTCCTGCCTCAGCCTCCCAAGTAGCTGGGATTACAGGCATTGCACCTCCACGCCCGGCTAATTTTGTATTTTTAGTAGAGATGGGGTTTCTCCATGTTGGTCAGGTTGGTCTCAAACTCCCGACCTCAGGTGATCCACCCGCCTCGGCCTCGCAAAGTGCTGGAATTACAGGTGTGAGCCACCGCGCCCGGCCGTAATAATTTTTAAATGTACAGTTCAGTAGTGTTAGGTACACTCACATTGTGCAACCAGTCTCCAGAACTGTTTTCATCTTGCAAAACTGAAACTCCTCACCCATTGAATGATAACTCCTCATTGCCTCATTCTCCCAGCCCTGGTAACCACCATTCTATTTGCCATCTCTGTGAATCTTACTACTCTGGGTACCTCATATAAGTGGAAACATACAGCATTTTTTCCTTTATGAGTAGTTTATTTCACTCAGCATAATGTCCTCCGGGTTCAACTATGTTGTAGCATGTGTCGGAATTCCCTTCCTTTAAAAAAGACTGTATAAATACTCCATGGTACCATATACCAAATTTTGTTTAGTTATCTGTTGATGAACACCTGGATTACTTCTACCTTTTTGTTATTGTTAATGCTGTTATGAGTGTTGGTGCACAAATATCTCTTCAAGACCCTGCTTTGAATTCTCTGGGGTATATACTCAGAAGTGAAATTTCTGAATCATACGGTAATTCTGTTAAATATTTTGAAGAACTGCTCTACTGTTTTAGATACCATCTGCACCATTTCCCACCAACAGCACACAAGGGTTCCAATTTCTCCATATCCTAAGAACACGTTATTTTTATTTATTTTTTCTTTTTTATAGTAGCCATTCTAATGAGTGTGAGGTGGTATCTCACTGTAGTTTTGATTTCCGTTTCCCTAATGATAAGTGATGCTGAGCACATTTTCACTGCTTGTTGGCCATTTATAGAGCTTCTTCAGAGAAAGTTCTGTTCAAGTTCTTTTCTCATTTTCAGACCAGGTTTGGCTTTTGTTGTTGCCTTGTAGGAGTTCTTTATGTATTCTAGATATTAACCCCATATCAGATATATGATTTACAAATATTTTCTCCTATTCTGTGGGTTGTCTTTTCATTTGGTTAACTGTGTCCTTTGATGCACAGAAGTTAGTATGATTTTTTTTTTTTTAAATCATGGCCGGGCATGGTGGCTCATGCCTGTAATTCCAGCACTTTGTGAGGCTGAGGTGGGTGGATCACCTGAGGTCAGGAGTTCAACACCAGCCTGGCCAACATGGCAAAACCCCATCTCTACTAAAAATACAAAAAAAATTAGCCGGGTGTGGTGGTGGGCACCTGTAATCCCAGCTACTCAGGAGGCTGAGGTAGGAGAATTGCTTGAACATGGGGAGTGGAGGTTGCAGTGAGCTGAGATTGCACCACGGCACTCCAGCCTGGGCTAAAGAGCAAGACCCTGTTTCAAAAAAAAATTTTTTTTTCTTGTATTGTCTTGGTTTTTTCTCTTTTCCCCTCTCACGGTAGTGCTATGAGAAGGTGGAGGCAAACTGTTTGCTTTCTCTAACTCCTTTAAAAAGCTGATGCAGACTGTACCTACCCCCTGGGCACCTGCCATGATTAGTCCCTCTTTATCTGAATCTCAGCAGTGCCTAGACCTGCCTCCAATTCTCCATCCAGCTTCTCAGACCACATGTTTTGTCCAGTATCTGCTGTGTGGTCAGCAGGCTTGGGCCTCTGCTTCCTATGGCCCAGAGGGCAGCCTCTCTCCTTGAAGAACCGTGGAGTTTGGGGCAGAAGCCTTTCCTTTCACCACCACTTTGGGAATTGGAATGTAAAAGAAATTCTCTTAATCCCCATGTACACATTGGGGATAAGGTTCTTTCTTTTGTCTTGTGTTCTAGGCAAAGGTAGGGCTCAGAGAAGGGCAGGGTATTGCAGGATGATGATGTAGAGCTGGTGGTGATGGGAAGGAGGAGTACAAATGAGTCAGTGGATAGGGAGACACATGTTAAGGCAGGGCAGCAGTGTGGGTGTAATGACACTGGGGAAACAGACAGCAGTGTGCAGCCGGGGGAGGTCAGAAACCAGTTGCTGCAATGGCTCTCACCTGTAGTCCCAGCTACTCAGGAGGCTAAGGCAGGAGGATCGCTTGAGCCCAGGAGCTCAAAACCAGCCTGAGCAACATAGGGAGACCTCATCTCTAAGTAAATAAAGCAATTATCATTGTGTCAGTACTTATATACTCACATACCCAAATGAAAGTGTCATAATCACAACTGTAGAAGTACTTTGCTAAGCAGTTTTTATGGATTTTATGGCACATTCAAGAAACCCATGAAACAGCTTCTGGTATTATCCCTCCTGCAAGTGAATGAGGTGAGCCTGGAAGAGATCCTAACTGGCCCATGGTTTATTTCTAGCCATAACCAGAGCTGGGGTAAAAAGCAGGGCATGTCTCTGATCAAAGCCTGGCTCTTAACCACTACACCGTCTTTGCTTCCATATCTGGATTTTGAGGCAGAAAAGTTATAACTAGGGTTAGAAGTTTGTTTGTTTGTTTCCTGGGGTGGGGTTAGGTTTTAGGTAATAGACTTTGGCTAATTTACTGTCATGGCTCCTACCTGAGTCCCAGTTACTCAGGTGGCTGAAGTGGGTGCATCACTTGAGCTCAGGAGTTCCAGGCTGGAGTGAGCTATGACCATGCCACTGCCCTCCAGCTTTGGAAACAAAGCAAGACTCTGTCTCTTAAAAAAAAAGAATAAGATTTTGGTTTTGGCTTAGATTTTTTGGATTTTATTTTGTGATATGGTTACCAAGTAGACAGCTGTCAGAGGTCTTTTATGGGCTGGGCGCAGTGGCTTATGCCTGTAATCCCAGCACTTCAGGAGGCCAAGATGGGAGGATTGCTTGAGCCCAGGAGTTTGAGACCAGCCTGGGCAACATAGTGAGAACCTGTCTCTACAAAAAATGCAAACATTAGTTAGGTGTGGTGGCACGTGTCAATAGTCCCAGCTGTTCTGGAGGCTGAGGTGGGAGGATCACTTGAGCCCAGGAGGTTGAGGCTGCAGGGAGCCATGATTGTGTCATTGCACTCCAGCCTGGGCAATAGAGTGAGGCCCTGTCTCAAAAAAAAAAAAAAAATCATTTATGTTACTTGTAGATTCCTGCCCACCTGAAGTTATCTGTCTTATATATTTCCCCTAGTGACTAACTCTTGTTTTACCTAACCTGAATTTCTCCTATAGAATGCCTTCTTAAGATATGCTATCTAGTGACTGTTTGGATTTGTGATTCTCAACACAGATGCATGTTGGAATCACCTGGGAGCTTTTAGTATGTGATGGTTCCTGGGCCTCACCTCAGAGGGACTGAAAAAGAACCTCTGGGCGTGCAGTCCTGAAGTCCATATTTTTAAAGCTTCCTGGGTGATTCTAAAGTCAGCCAGGATTCCCAACCACTAGATTAGGCACGAAATAGACTGGTCGTTCTCACTCTTGAAGAACCAGACATCTAGACTTGACAATAGAAGACGTGTGTAAAATGGATTGCAGGGAACTGCGGTCAGGGAAGGGTGACCTTTCTTAGCCCACAGCCGTGTTGGGGATATAGGAGAGCTTGGAGATGCCCTCACAATCAGGCTGCCAGGGGCAGGCAAAAGCAAACGAGGGTAAAAGAAACTTAGCCTGCTTCGCATGTTTGCTGATTGATTTCCAGGCCTGAGGAAGAGATTCTGAGACTGGGGACAGTGGGAACACATGCTTGGCAGGTGGACAGCAGAAGTTGTTTTGAAACTAGGAGTGCAGAAATGCTCCCAACCAGACTTTTGACTGGATACCTGTCCTCTGCAACTCAGAGCCATGTTTTGATTTGGGGGATGTTTGGGGTCTCCTCTCTCATGCCAAATATTAGGCCAGGTTTCAATTGCATCCTCTGTGATAATAGTTCTGGGTTTTGACACCTTTTTTTTCCCTTTTAGGTTCAGATAATGCACGTGTTTCGAATCCCACTGTGATATGCCAGGAAGACAGCATTGAAGAGGAGTGGATGGGTTTACTGGAGTACCTTTCGAGAATCTCTATTTGTAAAATGAAGAAAGGTAAGCGACTGGGGTGGTGCTTCTAGTTGAGTTTTAAGACCTGGTTCAGGAGGCTCTGGGAAGCTGAGCAGCTGGGTAACTTGGCCATACTATAGGTTCCTGCTCTTTGGAATGCAAAGGCCTGTCTCAGGAAATCCATTGTCAGTTGAAGAAACAAATTCATGTTTGTGTGGCTCTTGCAGTCCCAGAGCCAGCGGCGGTGATTAAGCGTTTCAAGTTTGATAAGGCATAGGATGCAGATTACTTAAAGGAATAAGATTGATTCAAATGATCTTTGGGCTGGTAGCTACACATAGAGATGGGCCTTCTGCTCAGCTGTGTATCTTAAAAACTTGACACCAGAGATTCTCGGCACCTTTCCTACCCAGTGGGGAGGAGCTGCACCTTCCATTTCTCCATTCCGGTTACCACTCGCTTCCGATGACAGGCCCCAGCTGAGAGCGCATCTCAGGTGGATGTGTGTATACTTTCCCCCTAACTTCCTGTCTTTGCCGTAGATTACCGTAAGAAGTACAGAAAGTACGTGAGAAGCAGATTCCAGTGCATTGAAGACAGGAATGCCCGTCTGGGTGAGAGTGTGAGCCTCAACAAACGCTACACACGACTGCGTCTCATCAAGGAGCACCGGAGCCAGCAGGAGAGGGAGCAGGAGCTTCTGGCCATCGGCAAGACCAAGACGTGTGAGAGCCCCGTGAGTCCCATTAAGATGGAGTTGCTGTTTGACCCCGATGATGAGCATTCTGAGCCTGTGCACACCGTGGTGTTCCAGGGGGCGGCAGGGATTGGGAAAACAATCCTGGCCAGGAAGATGATGTTGGACTGGGCGTCGGGGACACTCTACCAAGACAGGTTTGACTATCTGTTCTATATCCACTGTCGAGAGGTGAGCCTTGTGACACAGAGGAGCCTGGGGGACCTGATCATGAGCTGCTGCCCCGACCCAAACCCACCCATCCACAAGATCGTGAGAAAACCCTCCAGAATCCTCTTCCTCATGGACGGCTTCGATGAGCTGCAAGGTGCCTTTGACGAGCACATAGGACCGCTCTGCACTGACTGGCAGAAGGCCGAGCGGGGAGACATTCTCCTGAGCAGCCTCATCAGAAAGAAGCTGCTTCCCGAGGCCTCTCTGCTCATCACCACGAGACCTGTGGCCCTGGAGAAACTGCAGCACTTGCTGGACCATCCTCGGCATGTGGAGATCCTGGGTTTCTCCGAGGCCAAAAGGAAAGAGTACTTCTTCAAGTACTTCTCTGATGAGGCCCAAGCCAGGGCAGCCTTCAGTCTGATTCAGGAGAACGAGGTCCTCTTCACCATGTGCTTCATCCCCCTGGTCTGCTGGATCGTGTGCACTGGACTGAAACAGCAGATGGAGAGTGGCAAGAGCCTTGCCCAGACATCCAAGACCACCACCGCGGTGTACGTCTTCTTCCTTTCCAGTTTGCTGCAGCCCCGGGGAGGGAGCCAGGAGCACGGCCTCTGCGCCCACCTCTGGGGGCTCTGCTCTTTGGCTGCAGATGGAATCTGGAACCAGAAAATCCTGTTTGAGGAGTCCGACCTCAGGAATCATGGACTGCAGAAGGCGGATGTGTCTGCTTTCCTGAGGATGAACCTGTTCCAAAAGGAAGTGGACTGCGAGAAGTTCTACAGCTTCATCCACATGACTTTCCAGGAGTTCTTTGCCGCCATGTACTACCTGCTGGAAGAGGAAAAGGAAGGAAGGACGAACGTTCCAGGGAGTCGTTTGAAGCTTCCCAGCCGAGACGTGACAGTCCTTCTGGAAAACTATGGCAAATTCGAAAAGGGGTATTTGATTTTTGTTGTACGTTTCCTCTTTGGCCTGGTAAACCAGGAGAGGACCTCCTACTTGGAGAAGAAATTAAGTTGCAAGATCTCTCAGCAAATCAGGCTGGAGCTGCTGAAATGGATTGAAGTGAAAGCCAAAGCTAAAAAGCTGCAGATCCAGCCCAGCCAGCTGGAATTGTTCTACTGTTTGTACGAGATGCAGGAGGAGGACTTCGTGCAAAGGGCCATGGACTATTTCCCCAAGATTGAGATCAATCTCTCCACCAGAATGGACCACATGGTTTCTTCCTTTTGCATTGAGAACTGTCATCGGGTGGAGTCACTGTCCCTGGGGTTTCTCCATAACATGCCCAAGGAGGAAGAGGAGGAGGAAAAGGAAGGCCGACACCTTGATATGGTGCAGTGTGTCCTCCCAAGCTCCTCTCATGCTGCCTGTTCTCATGGGTAAGGAAACTCGGCTTCCAGGTGCTTCCTCCTGCTTCCTCGCCAGCTTCTTCTTGGCGCTTGCCTCCTCTCATCTCTTTTCAACTATCTTCCAAATACTGTTGCCACAGCTACATCATAATGCCACCACTGTCTGTTTGAGACTCCTTCATGAGCAAAGATTGATGTATGGTAGGTGGATAAATGGGATGAGGAAAAAAAAAATAAAACAAGGAACAAATGTTTGGGGAATGCCAGTTTAGCACAAGGTATTAAGTAGGATGTAGGATTGCCTACAAATATTTGTCAACTGAAATTTCTTGTAAGCTACTTGGAGCACTAGTGCCTAAGAGTCAGTCAATGTCTGTGGGGCAGAACAATGCCAGAGAGTCTGTGTCCCAGGAGCGAGGGGACAGAGGGCCTCAGAGCTGGAGGCTGGGGGGATGTTTCTTAGAAATGTGCAATCTAAGCCTCCTTTAAGGAATGGTGGGACCTGGGCGCATAGAGAAGAAATTAAAGGAATTCTGCACTGAAGACTGGTATGAGCCAAATCATGAATGCAGTCTGAGAAAAAGTGTGTGCAGGTGACAGTGGAGAGAGACACAGTTTCCTTGGAAAAAAACATGATGAAGGTAAATCAAGGGAAATAGAGCAGAAATGTGGAGACCCTCTTTCTAGGCCCCCATGTTGCTCTGCACTGGGCATTGCCAAAACCCCGTTTTCGGGTCTGTTCACACACTTGCTGGGTGGTTGGAAGCTAGTGGCCAAGTCTGTGCAATGAAGTGGTTGAGTCACCTGACTTCTGAGTCCCTTTTGGGTTTATCGTTCAGTGCCTCCTGCAGAAGGACCACCCACAGTGGTTGTAGGAAGGTGGCCACCCTGTGATGTGTGAGTTTAGCCTGGATAGAAGACACTTGACGTGGGGCAAAATTAAGGGAAACAGGAGGCTTGGCCCTTCCACAGGCAACAATGAGTTTCAGCTTTCTTGATCCGTTGACATTACCATGACCAGGACCACCTTCCTAGTCATGGTTTGGCCATGAAGGACTGACTGCCCACAGGGCCGCAGTGGTGGTGAAGACCCAGGTCCTGGTCACAGGGACTTGAGGTCTGGCTGTGGGACAGTCCGGAAACAAGTGCAGATGTCGGGGAGGGGGTCATGGGCTCTGACAAGGAAACTTGCAGAGTATCCAAAGCACAAGGGGACGAACCTGTTCACCAGCGGGGCACGGGTGGGTGTCCCCGCTCAGCCAGCTTCCGGAGGATGGGCAGTGAGAGAGTGAGAGAAGGAAAGGGGCAGCCAGGCTGGGGGCTTACGGTGTTGAGAGAGAGGGCAGGTGTGGGAAAGCAGGGTACGGTTTCTACGGCAGCAAACAGTTCCGAGTGACTGGAAAAAAGACAGTTGTCTTCATTCATCAGGTTGCCATAACAAAACACTGCAGGCTGGTTGGCTTATAAGCAAAAGGAAGGTTCACCTTACGGTTCTGGAGGCTGGGAAGTCCATGATCCAGGCTCTGGCAGATCTGGTGTTTGGTGAGGGCCTGTTCCCTGGTCGATGGTGCCTTCTCACTGTGTCCTTACATGGTGAAGAGGCAAGGCAGCTCTCTGGGGTCCCTTTCCTAAGGACAGCAATCCCACTCCTGAGGGCTCCACCCTCATAACTTAACCACACCTCAAAGGCCCCATCGCCTGATACGTCATGTTGAGGGTTAGGATTTCAGCGTATGGATTTTGGGGCACACAAACATTCAGACCATAGAAATGGGAGAAGAAGAGTAAGACAGAGAGAAAAGTAGGCAGAACTACTCATTAAGAGTGAGGTGGAAGGTGGAGAGGGCAGGGAGACCTTATGAAGATCACACATCTGTGAGGAAGGTTTGCACACTCTCACTGAAGCCCCGGTAGGAGGCTCAGCACCCATTTCTCTAGATAGCACCTTCCTTCCTCTGAGGACAGATTCTGACTGGAGCCCTGGTAGGGGGCTCAGCACCCATCCCTCTAGATGGCACCTGCCTTACTCTGAGGACAGACTCTCACTGAAGCCCCGGTAGGAGGCTCAGCACCCATTTCTCTAGATAGCACCTTCCTTCCTCTGAGGACAGACTCTGATTGGAGCCCTGGCAGGGGGCTCAGCACCCATTTCTCTAGATAGCACCTTCCTTCCTCTGAGGACAGACTCTCACTGAAGCCCCGGTAGGAGGCTCAGCACCCATTTCTCTAGATAGCACCTTCCTTCCTCTGAGGACAGACTCTGATTGGAGCCCTGGCAGGGGGCTCAGCACCCATCCCTCTAGATGGCACCTGCCTTACTCTGAGGACAGACTCTCACTGAAGCCCCGGTAGGAGGCTCAGCAACCATTTCTCTAGATAGCACCTTCCTTCCTCTGAGGACAGACTCTGATTGGAGCCCTGGCAGGGGGCTCAGCACCCATTTCTCTAGATAGCACCTTCCTTCCTCTGAGGACAGACTCTCACTGAAGCCCCGGTAGGAGGCTCAGCACCCATTTCTCTAGATAGCACCTTCCTTCCTCAGGACAGACTCTGACTGGAACCCTGGTAGGGGGCTCAGCACCCATCCCTCTAGATGGCACCTGCCTTACTCTGAGGACAGACTCTGACGGGAGCCCTGGTAGGGGGCTCAGCACCCATCCCTCTAGATGGCACCTGCCTTACTCTGAGGACAGACTCTGACTGGAGCCCTGGTAGGGGGCTCAGCACCCATCTTTCTAGATGGCAGCTGCCTTACTCTGAGGGCAGGAGCTTGCTTTGTATGTTCCAGTCCCTTCTGAGAACCAGAAGCCTGAGCATCTATTAGAAATGCAGGATTGTGGACCCAATCTTAGACCTAGAGAGCTAGACTTTGCATTTGAATGAGAGCTACAGGTGATTCAAAGGTGACTGCATGTGTGGGTGCAGTGGCTCTTGCCTGTAATCCTAGGTTTTGGGAGGCCAAGATGGGGGGATTGCTTGAAGCCAGGAATTCAAGTCCTACCTGAGCAGCAAAGTGAGAGCACCTCTCTACAGAAAAACAAAAGCAAAAATGTGACTGCATGTTGGAGCCACCTGGCTTTTTTTAAATAAAAAAGATCCATATAGCTGGACACAGTGACTCGTGCCTGTAACCTCAGCTACTCGGGAGGCTGAGGCAAGAGGATTGCTTGAGCCCAGGAGTTTGAGGCTGCAGTGAGCTATGATCATGGCACTGCATTCCAGCTTGGGTTTCATCTGAAAAAAAATTTAAAAAATTCATCTAGTTCCACCTCAGAGCTTCTGATTTTATTTCCATGGATGTGGCCTGGGCTTGCGATTTTCTTTTTCTTTTTTTTTTTTTTGAGATGAAGTCTTGCTCTGTTGCCCAGGCTGGAGTGCTGTGGCATGATCTTGGCTCACTGCAACTTCCACCTCCCAGGTTCAAGTGATTCTCCTGCCTCAGCCTCCCTAATAGCTGGGATGACAGGCTCGTGCCACCACACCCAATTAATTTTTGTATTTTTAGTAGAGAGAGGGTTTCACCATGTTGGCCAGGCTGATCTTGAACTCCTGACCTCAGGTGATCTGCCCGCCTCGGCCTCCCAAAGTGCTGGGATTACAGGTGTGAGCCACCATGCCCAGCCTGGCCTGAGGATTTTTGTGAGCACTCCTGATGCTGTTGTGTAGCCAGGAGTGAGGACTGCCCTCTGATCACCCAGCACAGAACGTTCAGGGCCATGTTGGGACAGTGGACTGGTAAGGGCGAGAGGAGGACACTGGGGAGCAGGCTGTAGGGTGCCACAGTCCGCCACAGTCACAGGCTCATGCTCTCCGTCCGAGAGGAGGCAGAACTGCTTTTACCAAGGCTCATCCAGCCCTCTTCATTTCTCTGGGAACAATTTTTGGTTTCGTGACCCATTTCTTAATCCCCGGAAGGCATTTCTCTGAACTGGTGCCAGGCACCCCGGCCCCCAGCTCCAGTTAGTTATTATTCGAGGCTGATTTCTTTTCTGTCTGTCTTCCTTCTAATTCCTAGATTGGTGAACAGCCACCTCACTTCCAGTTTTTGCCGGGGCCTCTTTTCAGTTCTGAGCACCAGCCAGAGTCTAACTGAATTGGACCTCAGTGACAATTCTCTGGGGGACCCAGGGATGAGAGTGTTGTGTGAAACGCTCCAGCATCCTGGCTGTAACATTCGGAGATTGTGGTGAGTCCCCGTGCATGTGATCTGTGTGAGTGCAAGTTCATATGAGAGAGAGAGAGAGAAACAGACTGGAGAAAGATCTTCAGGACCAGGTTGCTGGTGTGGTTTCTTTCTTTTCTTTTTCTTTTTTTCTTTTTTTGAGGCAGAGTTTTGCTCTTATTGCCCAGGCTGGAGTGCAATGCCGTGACCTCGGCTCACTGCAATCTCTGCCTCCTGGGTTCAAGTGATTCTCCTGCCTCAGCCTCCTGAGTAGCTGGGATTACAGGCACCCACCACCATACCCAGCTAATTTTTTGTATTTTTAGTAGAGATGGGGTTTCATCATGTTGTCCAGGCTAGTCTCGAAGTCCTGACCTCAGGTGATCCGCCCGCCTCGGCCTCCCAAAATGCTGGGATTACAGGCATGAGCCACCGCACCCGGCCGGTGGTGTGGTTTCTGCTGTAACAAAGTGCCACAGACTGAATGGCTTCAACAACAAAAATTCATTTTCTTGCAGTTCTGAGGCCGAAAGTCTAAGATCAAGGTGTCAGCAGGGTTGGTTTCTTCTGAGGCCGCCCTCCTTGGTTTGTAGATGCCCCCTTCTCCCTGTGTACTGATGCCATCTTGCCTTGGGGGGAAGAGTGGCCTAGTCTCCTCTTCTTACAGGGACAGCAGTCCTGATGGATTAGGCACAGTCAGGCATGACTACACAAGACCTAATGTTAATCTAGTCACTCCTTTAAAGACCCCATTTCCCAAAACAGCCACATTATGAGGTCTTGAGGATTAGGGCTTCAACATGTAAATTTTTGGGGGGGCACAGTTCAGCCCAGAACAAGTGAGAAGGTAGAATGGGTTGGAGGCCAGCTGGGGAAGTTTTGTGTGGGGAAGAATGAATGAGGAACTAAAAAAAAAGTCATTTCTTGAAACAACCATGATGCTCGATATATTCCATTTCCTCATGGGCCATGTTCATAGATGAGAGTTGGAGAATTTGCCATTTACAACAATGGCAACCTCACCTAAAAACTATGAAAATACTTTTTTTTTTTTTCTTTGAGACAGGACCTCTCTCTGTCACCCAGGCTGGAGTGTGTGATCACAGCTTACTGCAGCCTCGACCTCCCAGGCTCAAGCAATCCTCCCACCTCAGCTCCCCCGAGTAGCTGGGACTACAGGCATGCACCACCATGCTGGCTAATTTTTGTATTTTTTTTGTAGAGATGTGGTCTCATCACGTTGCCCAGCCTGGTCAGAATGCTTTGTATGGGTTGAAATGTCACAGGGAATCTCCTGTGACTTTATTAATAATGTGCTTGCTCACACCTGTAGTCCCAGCTACTCGGGAGGCTGAGGCAGGAGAACTGTGTGTACCCGGGAGGCGGAGATGGCAGTGAGCCGAGATCGTGCCATTGCACTCCAGCCTGGGTGACAGAGCGAGATTCCATTTCAAAATAATAATAATAATAATAATAATAAAAAATGTGCTTGCTTTCTCCCACACCATGAATCAGATTCACACGCCCCACCGCGCTGGTGCCTGGGCCGCCTCACTAGCTCTGTTTCATTCCCTGCTCTGTGGACGCATGCAGGCGTCTGCATTTTTGAGGAGCTGCACAGCAAGTGTTAAAGTCCGCCACTCTAGGACATTTTGCTACCTCCCTCTCCGGCTCAACACACTCACCTTGTCACCAGTCTTATCAATTTTTCCTCCTACCCGAGCTGTTTTCCACTTTTCCTCGTCCTCACCCCACCAGCCCAGGTCCAGCAACTGTCACCACTTGCCTGGACACGCAGTGACCTCCTAGACCATCAGCTCCCCGGGGATGGGGTTTGCGTTTGTTTGTCTTGCTGTCATCTTTGCCACGCCTGGACAGACATCTTAGTACCCATCAGTGGTCAAAAGCACGCACTGAATGAATGTTGGCTCTTTGGTCTCCCTGTGTCTGCCTTTTTCCCTCACCCGACCATTCTCTGCACAAAAGTAAGATGGTCCTTTAGAAAATTCTGATTCGATTGTGCTGTTCGGTGGCTTAAATGCTTTCTGTCTGCTCTGCTCTTTATTTTTTACTTTATGTATTTATTTTTGTAGATGTAGGGGGCGCAAGAGCAGCTTTGTTTCATGGATATGTTACTGCACAGTGGTAGTGTCTGGGCTTTTACTGTAACTACCCCTTTTTTTTTGAGATGGACTCTCGCCGTGTTGCCCAGGCTGGAGTACAGTGGAGTGATCTCGGCTCACTGCAACATCCACCTCCTGGGTTCAAGCAATTCTTCGAGTAGTTGGGATTACAGGCATGGGCCACCACGCCCAGCTGATTTTTGTATTTTTAGTAGGGACAAGGTTTCACCGTATTGGCTAGGCTGGTCTCAAACTCCTGACCTCGTGATCCACCCGCCTCGGCCTCCCAAAGTGCTGGGATTACAGGCGTGAGCCACCGTGCCCGGCCTTAGTGTAACTCTTACCCAAATAGTGAACATTGTACCCAATAAATAATTTTCCAGCCCTCACCTGGCTCCCACCCTCCCACCCTTCTGAGGCTCTAGTGTCTATCATTCCATGCTCTATGGATGTTACCCTTTGTTTAGCTCCCACTTGTAAGTGAGAACGTGTGGTATTTGACTCTGTTTCTGAGTTGTTTCACTTAAGGTAATGGCCTCCAGTTCCATCTGTGTGGCTTCAAAGATGTGACTTCATTCTTTTCTATGGCTGAGCAGTATTCCATTATGTATATAGATCACACTCTTCATCTTTGCTCTTTTGGTAAATTTCAAATCGTAGTGCCATGGAGACTGGTTGTTTGGGACATTTAACCTTATTTCTCCAACTTCATGCCCAAATTCTCTCCCCACTGCCATTGCCCCTGTATGATTCTGGAGAGGCAGACACAAACAGGGAAGGGTAGGGGACAGTGAGATGCTTCGCAGAGAAGTAGAGATCCATTTGTCCATTTGCTTGAAGTTGGTGTAAGGATAGGGACAGAAAGGAAGGTGGTCTAACAGGCTCCAGGACCTATGAACTATTGCCCTGGAAAGAAGCTAGAATGTTGTTCTTGCCCCCATGACAGGGATAAAGTATAGTTTTTGTTGCTGGTGGTGGTGGTGACGGTGGTAGTGATGTGCGTGTGTGTTTGTGTGCATGTGTGTGACGGGGAAACTAATCAAGAATCAGAGCTGCAGCGGGATGTGGAATCCCAGCACTTTGAGAGGCTGAGGTGGGCAGATCACCTGAGCCCAGGAGTTCAAAACCAGCCTGAGCAAGCTGGTGAGACCTTGTCTTTAGAAGATAATAATAATAATAAAAATAAAATATAAATAAAATAAAATGGCTAAGCATGGTAGCACATGCCTGTATTTGCAGCCACTTGGGAGGCTGAGGCAGGTGGATCCCTTGAGCCCAGGAGTTCGAGGTGGCAGTGAGCTATGATCTCGCCAGTGCACTCCAGCCTGTGCAACAAAGTGAGACCCTGTCTTTAAAAAAAGAAAAGAAAAGAAAAGAAAAAGAATCAGAGCTGCTTTTCCTTTCAATATAGATGGAGGGCTGGGATGAAATCGTCAAACACAATGGGGTGACAATGTTGGTGAAGACAAGAAATAGCTGAGTGCAGCACTGGCGAGGGCAGTGCCGACTGCGGGCACGTCAATGGTTAGGAACACGAGGGAAGGAGGTGGGTGCACAGGCCCACACCGCCCGCTTCACTTACAAACCAGGAGCGCACCATTCACATGTCTGGGGGGTGATCTCAATGCACCCGGCACTGTTTACGGCCGGGAGTTCACTGACAGGTGATCCCTCTGCTGTGACTGGGGAGACTGGGGGCTGACCTCCCAATGTGCCTTGTGCTGTATTCCGGAGCTCTCTGGTCAGGTGTATTCTGATGCTTTCTCTATTCCAGAGCTCTCTGGTCAGGTGTGTCCTGATGCTTTCTCTATTCCAGAGCTCTCTGGTCAGGTGTGTCCTGATGCTTTCTCTATTCCGGAGCTCTCTGGTCAGGTGTGTCCTGATGCTTTCTCTATTCCGGAGCTCTCTGGTCAGGTGTGTCCTGATGCATTCTCTATTCCAGAGCTCTCTGGTCAGGTGTGTCCTGATGCTTTCTCTATTCCAGAGCTCTCTTGTCAGGTGTGTCCTGATGCTTTCTCTATTCTGGAGCTCTCTGGT
Organism: Homo sapiens; assembly: GCF_000001405.40. Classification (NCBI taxonomy): domain Eukaryota; kingdom Metazoa; phylum Chordata; class Mammalia; order Primates; family Hominidae; genus Homo; species Homo sapiens. Next base: position 247,433,892 of record NC_000001.11, read on the forward strand.
CAGATGTGTTCTGATGCTTTCTCTATTCCGGAGCTCTCTGGTCAGGTGTGTTCTGATGCTTTCTGTATTCCGGAGCTCTCTGATCAGATGTGTTCTGATGCTTTCTCTATTCCGGAGCTTCCTGATCAGGTGTGTCCTGATGCTTCCTCTGTTCTGGAGCTCTCTGGTCAGGTGTGTTCTGATGCTTTCTGCCTCTGTTCTTGGCATGAAGGTTGGGGCGCTGTGGCCTCTCGCATGAGTGCTGCTTCGACATCTCCTTGGTCCTCAGCAGCAACCAGAAGCTGGTGGAGCTGGACCTGAGTGACAACGCCCTCGGTGACTTCGGAATCAGACTTCTGTGTGTGGGACTGAAGCACCTGTTGTGCAATCTGAAGAAGCTCTGGTGAGTCGAGCCCGTTCCCCTAAGGAAGTTCTGCCAGCGAGGCGTGCTGCGCACTCTGGCTTCAGTGAGGCCCGGTGGGCTGGGGTTTGAGTGAGAATGGCCTTGGCGGCTCGGGTGACTGCGTGTGCTTGTCTTGGGGTGTCTAGCATTGCGGTCAGTGAGTGTTTGTCGTGGGGAAAGCCACACACTCAACCCTGACAAGGAGCATAAATAATAACAAAAAGAAGATGTCTGCCTTTAGGGTGCCTACTGCCTAGCTGACAAAAAGAAAAAATCAGTGTAATGCATTGCTTTAGAGGAGTTTTAGAACTTCATGACAAGCCCTGGGTCCTCATATTGTATAAGAAAAATGGTGCTAAAGCAATGCAGACCCTCGATGTTGTATGCAGCCCTTCCCTGAGTGCTTCTGGGAGACTTGCATTTTGAAGGAGAGAAAAAACCACTTAAAAATGGAAGGGCCATTTCTCACCCATTAGGATGGCTATTATCAAACAAAAGCAAGAAAACTAGAAAACAACAAGTATTGGTGTGGGTGCGGAGAAATGGAAGCCATTGTGTGTTGCTGGTGGGAATGTAAATGATGCAGCCACTATGGAAAACAGCACAGCAATTCCTAAAAAATAAATACAGAATTACTACTGGAGCCAGCATTTCCACTGCTGGGTATATCTGCAAAAGAGTTCAAAGCAGGAACTCAGCCAGGAGCGGTGGCTCACACCTGTAATCCCAGCATTTTGGGAGGCTGAGGCAGGTGGATCACTGGAGGTCGGGAGTTCGAGACTAGCCTGGCCATCATAGTAAAACCTTGTCTCTACTAAAAATACAAAAATTAGCCAGGCATGGTGGTGCATGCCTGTAATCCCAGTTACTCGGGGTGGAGGCAAGAGAATCTTTTGAACCTGGGAGGCGGGGGTTGCAGTGAGTCAAGATCCCGTCACTGTACTCCCGCCTGGGTGACAGAGGAAGCATTAAAAAAAACAGAAGGCAGGAACTCAAACATGTTATTTGTACATCTATGTCCATAGCAACACTATTAGAAATAGCCAAAAGGTGGAAATAACCAAACGTCCTTCAACGGATGAAGGGTGTTGAAAAGTGCTATATATGTACATTCAGCTTTAAAAAGAATTCTAGTACACACTACAACATGGATGAGCCTCGGGGACATTATGCTAAGTAAGATAAGCTAGACTCGAAAGGGCAAATACTCTGATTGTCCTTATAGGAGGTGTCTAGAACAGACAGATTCATAGAGACAGGAAGAAACGTGGTTGCAGGCAATGGGAGGGCGGAGAGTGGGAAGACATTGTTTAATGGTTATGGAGTTTCAGTTCTGCAAGATGAAAGGAGTTCTGGAGATGGTGGTGGTGATGGTTGCACAACAATGTGAAGTGCTTAAGGCCATTAATTGTGCACTTAAAAATGGTTAAAATGGTAAATTTTATTTTACACGTATTTTACCACAATAAAGCTGAATGTAGGGAGCTGGGAAGATGTAGTATTGGTGGGAGCTTGGAGAATGCTTACTTGTTATTCCACCAAATGGAAAAGGAAATCAGAAGTGTACATAGAGCTTGTGTCCACTCCCTTTCCATGTGTAAACTGGAGTAGAGGCAGTGGCAGGTACGGGTGCTTCCTTGTCCATGGTGGAGCGTGGGTGAGAGACATGACTGACATTCTGCCATCTCTATGGAAGGTTGGTCAGCTGCTGCCTCACATCAGCATGTTGTCAGGATCTTGCATCAGTATTGAGCACCAGCCATTCCCTGACCAGACTCTATGTGGGGGAGAATGCCTTGGGAGACTCAGGAGTCGCAATTTTATGTGAAAAAGCCAAGAATCCACAGTGTAACCTGCAGAAACTGGGGTAAGTCTTCATGGGTGTCTTACCAGAAAAGTAACTTCTTTTCAGAGGTGAATTATTTGGAAAATGTGGATGGGGGTTACTTTGGTCAGGCAGAGCTGAAGGTAGAGTAAGGAGGTAAAAACATCAGAAATGCTTTGAAGGACTGGAGGCATATAATGTATACTGCTGCTAATAAGATAATTTATGCTAATTTATGATTATAGAACTAGAGTTTCTTAGTGTTGGAAGAAACCTTAGAGATGGTGCAGCCCAATTGCCTGTTGAGGGAAAAACTTGCTTCCAAGACACTCACATGAATAGTCACCCATTTTATGTGTGCATGCTTGCAAGCATGCAAGTTATCGCATAGTGCATGCAGCCTCTACACTAGGAAAGAGCTCTCACCCTGCAGCCTCTACACTAGGAGAGGACTCTTACACTGCAGCCTCTATATCCTCAACAGTGTCATGGCTCAGCACCTTCACCTATGTAGCCATGCTCTCCCAGGTACACAGGCTGGTTTGTTAGTGTCTGTCTTTGAAATGTGGTGCCCAGACCTGATGATGCATGGTGGATGTTTTACCTCCTGTTGCAGAGAACTATGGTTTCACTGGTGGAATCTCTGATTTCCTTGTTTTTTTTGGCAGTTACATAAGCCTTTTGATTCATGTTGGAATTCTGCAGTAAACAGTAGTAGGGAATACCCACTAATAATCATGCACTTTCCCTGTACCACTTTCCTGTATCACTTTCCCTGTATCACCTGCTCTTTCATGTTCTTACATGGATTTTCTCAGTTGGCTTCAGAAAGATGCTATAGGGTAGGGTATCTGTGTCTCCAATTTAAAGAGGAGAAAATAAAATTCAGGGAGCCTCATAACTTTGTCCAAGGACACTCAGAGAGAAGGTAGTGGAACTCAGTGTAGACAAACGTCTGTGACCTCCCAAGCCACTGCCTTAATTCCCAGTGCATTGCCTTAGGAGATGTTGCTAATGGGCTCTCTACAGGGCTTCTTCATCTGGCTCTCAGCTTAAGGGTGGGACCTCCAATTTAGCTTTGCTAAACCTCATCTTACCTGTCTTTTGACCCATTGACTAGGCAGTTTTGAATCTTCATTCTGACAATAATATCTACAAATACAATAAGCAAATTGGATAGGTCTTCATTCATTCACATTATTAATATATATACCAGCCAGATCAGCATTCAAGACAAAATTTGGCAGGAAAGGTCTTCCCAGAGGAGTAATCCACTAATCCATAATTAACAACCAACCTCTGTTCACAAAGCTCTGATACTTCCTTGGACCTCTCCCATCAGCCAATCCTCAGATGTGACCATATCTCTTTCTATGAAGTCTTCCTGCAGTGCCTTCATTTCCTCGCCTTAGGGTATTACCCTTCCTTAGCAAATCGCCTTAGAATATTACTCTTCCTTGGCAATTTGACTTCTGCTTCTCTAAGTTTGTTCAACAGACATGATTTTGTCCCTTCATTTTGCAGGCCCTCTGGGGGCTCTGTGGTGGGCACTGACAGCAGCAGTGAGTAAAACAGACCAAAATCCTGTTTTCACAACCGTTCTTTTAGGGAAGTGATAACAGATAATAGACATGCTAAACAATATACCCTGTGTATAAGAGCTATAAGAAAAACTGGAGTGACGGCGAGGGGTGCTTCTCTGCTCACGTTTGGCGAGTGCCTCTCCGAGCGGGTGACATTGGAGCAGGTGCTCAGTGAAGCGTGGGATGGGCTGTGAAGGAGCCGGAAGAGCCCTCCAGGCAAAGCAGATGGAACCGAAGAGGCCCAGGCGTAGGCACTCAGGTGACTCTCAGTGATCCTGGTTCCAAATTCCACATGACAAACAAGCCAATTACAAATGTGCCTGATGCATCTGTAATATGCTCTATGTAGTTACTATTGTCAATACCTAACCTGGTAGAGCTGCTGTAATAAAGTATCACAAACAGAGCGGCCTAAACAACAAGAGTTTATTGCCTCTCAGTTCAGGAGGCCAAAGTCTGAGACTGAGGCATCAGCAGGCTGGGTCCTTATAGGTCGTACAGGTCCTTCCCAGTCCTTACTTTAGTTGACATCTGCTGCCTTTAATTCATTTCACTCTTCCTCTTTGGAAGCCTTCTTCGCTCTTATTTTTAGGTCACTACTTAGTCTTTCCTGCTAATGTTATAGCTTCCCCCTCCCTGGATCCTGCATTGGCTTCTCTTCCTGTGGTCTGGGGATTTCACGACTGGTTTAGTTGTGTTTTTTTTTTTTTTTTTTTTTTTGAGTTGGAGTCTTACTCTGTCACCCAGGCTAAAATGCAGTGGCGCAATCTTGGCTCACTGCAACCTCTGCCTCCCGGGTTCCAACAATTCTTCTGCCTCAGCCTTCTGAGTAGCAGGGACTACAGGTGTGCACTGCCATGCCTGGCTAATTTTTGTATTTTTAGTAGATACGGGGTTTCACCATGTTTGCCAGGCTGGTCTCGAATTTCTGACCTCAGGTGATCTGCCTGCCTTGGCCTCCCAAAGTGTTGGGATTACAGGCGTGAGCCACACACCCGCCTGGTTTACCTTTTTTGTTGTTGTTGTTACTAAATATTTCTAAACTCCCTGAGAATTCTCATATACCTCTCAATTTCAACAACAGTAGGTCTCAAACCCAGATATCATTCACAAACTTTTTATTAGAAAAGTAACACATGCTTGGTGTAAACATATCATAGTACAGACAAAGTGGAAAGTGAAAGCTCCTTCTCAGCCCTCTTCTGAGAGAGCCATTTACAATAGTCTGATGAACAACCATCCAGACTTTTTTTAATACAATAGATTGTTATATAATCCATTCATCTGTCCATCCATCCATCCATCCATCATCCATCCCTCTATTTTCCATCCGTCAATCCATCCATCCATCCATCCATCCATCCATCCATCCATCCATCAATCCATCCAAGGGAGTATCAGAGCTTTGTGAACATATATTGGTTGCTAATTATGGACAAATGGATTTCCTGTATATGCTGATCTGGGTGGTATTTATATCAGTAATGTGAATGAAGACCTATGTGATTTTCATGTTGCATTTGTAATACATTGTTATGTAGTATTTTAAATGCCTAGTCTGTTAGAGCTACTGTAATAAAGTATCACAAACAGAGCAGCTTAAACAACAGAAATTTATTGTCCCTCAGTTCTGGAGGCCAGAAGTGTGAGATTAAGATGCTAGCAGGCTGGGTCCTTCTGAGGGCTGTGGGGAATCTGTTCATGCTTCTCTTTGGCTTCTGGTGGAATGTCATCTTGCTGACACATTTTGCCATTCCTTGACCTGTAGATGCCTCTGCCACACCATTGCCTTTATCTCTACGTGGTGTCTTCCCTGTGTCTGTGTGTGTCTTTCTCCATGTCCCAAGTTTCCCTGTGAAAGAACACAAGTCATGTTAGATTTGTAACGACCTGATCTTAACTAATTACATTTTCAGTAACCGTATCACCAAATAAGGTCACAATCTGAAGTACTGGGGCCTAGGACTTCCACATATAAAGTCTTAGAGGAAACAATTCAATCCATAACACCCTATCTATTGAAACTAGAACCATAATATAAATATTTTTCTGTGATATCCTTTTTTCATTTATCATGGATAAATTTCCATGCTGATTTGTGTAGATCTATCGATTGGGGCATAATATCCCATAGTGTGCTTTACCATAATTTATTTAATCAAATCATGCATTTTGGGATAACTGTTCTTTTCCACTATTACAAACAACTCTGCAAAAAGCACATTTGTATATATAGTTTTATGCATGTGTATTTGCTTTGAGATAGGTATCTATAAGTGGCATTAATCAGTCGAGACTTTTATGCATTTTATGTGTTAGGTACAGCCATACATGTGGCTGTGTGTTAGGTATAGCCTATGGGTTAGGCATAGCCTGTGTGTTAGGTATAGCCTATGGGTTAGGTATAGCCTACGTGTTAGGTATAGCCTATGTGTTAGGTATAGCCTATGTGTTAGGTATAGCTACATTTTTTTCTCTCGAACTTTGGGTCCTCATCTCTGGCTGCATATTGTGTACTGCCTGTCTCAATACTGCTCAAGGGTCACACATGCTGAGCATTTGCAACATTGGTTTAATTATCATACCCCACCTTCCACCCCCGTTCTCTGACCTGCTCCTGCCCTCTTCCTCCTGCCTCATTGAATAGTGGGGCTTTCCAGGAGGCTGCTGAGTGAGTAAACGGGGGACGGTCCTAAATGCTCTGCTTTCGGTTCCCTCTACCACTCATCACTACACCAGAGGGAACTTTTTAAGATGCAAATTTGAAAATATTGACCCTTTGTTCAAAAATCTTCAAAAGTTCTTCTCTGCAGTCAGAGTGACATCTTAGCTTGGCACACAAGGCTGTCCCTGATACTGCCCTCTCTCCTGCCATACCTTGCACTCCATTTTGAGTCATATTGGATGAGTTTTGTTTTGCTGTTTTAGAGATGGGGACTTGCTATGATGCTCAGGCTGAATTTGAATTCCTGGGTTCATCTACAGCCATACCACCCAGAGTGCCTGATCTCATCTGCACTCCTGGGCTCAAGCAATCCTCCCGTCTCAGCCGCCCAAGTAGCTGGGACTATAGGTGGACATCACTGTGCCCAGCTATGAATTAGTTTTGAAACATCTTGGTGGTTCTTTTAATCTTCCTTATTCTTGCTACTCTTTTCCTTTTGCCTGGAAGGTTACCCCCACTTTCCCACTTTCTACTATCCATCTAAGAAGCTCCTACTTATTTTTTAATTACTGTGATCCTCATTTTGTCCATTTAAAAGCAGGGATAAAACTAACATTCCCATCTTGAGGTTGTGATCATTCAATGAGATAACCCTGTTTAAAGTCGTCATCCATGTCAAGCACACAATAAATACTCAAAAAATGTTTGATCTTCTTCTTCAGATTCCTTCCTTCCTTCCTTCCTTCTTCCTCCTCCTCCTTTCTTTCTCTCTTTTTCTTTTTCTCTTTCTTTCTTTCTTTCTCTCTCTCTCTCTTTCTTTCTTTCTCTTTCTCCCTTCCCTTCCCCTCCCCCCCCCCTTTCCCTTTCCCCTTTCCTTTCCTTATTTTCCTTTCTTTTCTTTTCTTTTTTTAAGACAGGGTTTTGCTCTGTGGCTCAGACTGGAGTGCAGTGGTAGGATCATAGCTCACTGTAGCCTTGAACTCTCCTGGGCTCAAGCAATCTTCCTGCCTCAGCCTTCTGACTAGCTAGGACTACAGGTGTGTACTACCATGCCTGGGTAATGTTTAAAATGTTTAAAATTTTTTATGTAGAGACAGGGTCTTGCTATGTTGCCCAGGCTGGTCTCAAACTCCTGGCCTCAAGTGGTCCTCCCACCTTGGCCTCCCAAAGCACTGGGATTCAGTTTTCATTATGAGACAGTTTTGTGACATAGGCAGGTAGTTAATAAATAAAAATCCCCAACCAATTAACTTAATACAGTACATGGCAAGATATCCGTGCTTGGTAAATGTAGAGCTCAGTTAGGTGGATTGGTTGAAATCGAGATGTCAATCACATTCCTCTAATCCAAGGATTGGTTGGTGGGACATGGTTGTTTGATTCTTTAAACATTTTATTATGTGTTCAGTGTAACCGTTGCTTAATAGTTACCAGCATTTTCACAATTTGGATATGACGTTTTCTTAACAAAACTGCACCGTCTGTTGCAATTTCTACTACTACTGTGTAGTGCTCCCCAAACATCTGTTGAATAATCCATTCTACTCCTTTTTGGAAATAGTGGTAAAGCCTGCATAACTTTAATTACATAATTTAAAAAATATTTTCTCTTTTCCTCTTTGAAGACCATCCCCATTCTACTAGAATGTCCCTGGCCTTTGCCAGGAATGCTACTAATCCCTTCTGCATGTTAATTAACAACAACCCTCTGATAGAATTCTTACCGGGGATGAGAGCTTAGTAGAAGCCACTCAAAACTTGCTTTGTTTTTGTCTGTCTCTCTTGGGCTTCATTTGCCTATTAGTCTTACTTACTGTGTCTTTTCAGTTTGACTCTTCCTTAATTGGGAAGATAGAAACCAGTGGATGGATAATCACTTTTTCCTGCTGGTCATCTGTTCATGCTTTACTGTCTGAATACACTTTTTCTGTATTTCTATTTTTCCTGCCTCGTAGACACCAAAGAGCTTAAAAAACATGCCATTGCCAAGGACTCTGGCAGGAAGGAGGCAATCACCTGCGCTATTCCTGGCTTCATGGAATAGAAGCATCTGTGCTCCTAGGAATTACGCCACCAGTGATTTTAGAGCTCTTATGCTCTTCCTGGGTGATAGAATGGGCTTAATTTGACTCAAGAATAGTACATCAAAACTCTTAATTCCATCGAGATTGATGCATTTTTGGGGTTTTATGCTCTAAAAGGCCTTTTGCTGTGCAGAAGGAAGAGAGAGGTGGACAGAAAGGGCAGTGGGGAGAAGATGAGACTAAAAGGTGGAAAGTCCAGGTCTGGATCCCTCCCCACCACACACCTGCTCTGTGGCCTTGAGAGAAACATGTAATTTTTATAAGCCTTAGATTTCTAATATGTAAAATGTATGTAATAGTTTTAGCTGCACTCCTTCCTTGCCAGGTTGATATAATAATCAAATAAGACTGGTCTCTGGGTCAGGCACAGTGGCTCATGCCTGTAATCCCAGCACTTTGGGAGGCCAAGGTGGGTGGATTGTCTGAGCCCAGGAGTTTAAGACTGCAGTGAGCTGTGCACTTGGCCTGGGTGACTGAGCAAGAGCCTGGCTTTTTCTATTTATTTATTTATTTTTGAGACAGAGTCTCACTTTGTTGCCCAGGTTGAAGTGCAGTGGCAATCTCGGCTCACTGCAACCTCTGCCTCCCAGGTTCAAGCAATTCTCCTGCCTCAGCCTCCCAAGTAGCTGGGATTACAGGTGCCCACCACCACCCTAACTAATTTTTATATTTTTAGTAGAGATGGGCTTTCACCATGTTGGCCAGGCTGGTTTTGAACTCCTGACCTCGTGATCCACCCTCCCAAAGTGCTGGACCTCCCAAAGTGCTGGGATTACAGGCATAAGCCACTGCACCTGGCCTTATTTATTTATTTATTTAGGCAGGGTCTCACTCTGTCACCCAGGCTAGAGTGTGGCAGCGCAATCATGGCTCACTGCAGCCTCGACTTCCTGGACTCAAGCGATCCTCCCACCTCTCCAACGTGGTTGAGGGCTGCAGCGAGAAAGATGTGAAAGGGGCATTTGGGGGCGCAGGAAGGCGGGAGGTGGCAATTGCTAAGGGCCCCGCCGTGTTCCTGTCACAGCCCTAGCTACAGCTTAGAAGGTCACAATGGACGTTCACCTGTTGTCTTTGATGTTTAAATCAGCACCGACTTCCCATGAGGAGGATTTTTTTTTCCTGTCTCTCTTAAAAAAAAAAAAAAAGGCCCCTGCAGTGTGGGTGTCTGCAGTGTTACGGGGATTATTAGTTGAGGATAACCACTGGGATGTGTTTCTGGAAGAAGTGGTGCTGAGGAGCACTCCTGGCCGGAGGAAAGCTGTGTGAGGAGGAGGAGGAGTATGGGGTAACTGGCTCAGTTTGCCTTGGCTCTTTCTGTCGGACTCATACAGCAAAGCATCTGCTGAGACATCATTTGTGTCTCCTGTGACAGCCAGAGACAGCAGGTCTTGCTCTCCCCAGATCATATCTGAGATGCTGGCTCCTGCTCTCTGAGCTGAAGGCTGCAGCTGCTGAGAGAGGACGAGGCACTGAGTCAAAGCAGCTGCACAATGTTGGGGAACAGCTGGGTACTGAGGACTCTTCTCCCTGTCCTTCTACAGGTTGGTGAATTCTGGCCTTACGTCAGTCTGTTGTTCAGCTTTGTCCTCGGTACTCAGCACTAATCAGAATCTCACGCACCTTTACCTGCGAGGCAACACTCTCGGAGACAAGGGGATCAAACTACTCTGTGAGGGACTCTTGCACCCCGACTGCAAGCTTCAGGTGTTGGAGTAAGTCCTTTGGTTTATTACAGCAATGAGAACACATGGTGGCCAAGGGTGGAGGGACGTTTAGGCAGAGTGGCCACAAGATAATCTGTATCTTAGAAGTGAGGTGTCTTCTTAGTGTTTGCCTTGTTACAGGATCATGGGACTGGGAGGAGTCCTTCCAGATGATATAGATGTAGGAACTTGAGTCCTTACCATCACAGTTTTCTGTACCACAAAACAAGGAGGGCAGTATGACACTTACATTTTATGGAAATGTAGGGAAAGGCACAGAATTTGGTAAATCAATGAACAAACCACTGTTACTAATTTGATCTGTGCAATGCAGTGGATTTGAAAAAGAGAGAGAAGAATAATTACCAGCATACAAGGCTGCTTGAAGCTAGTTAGTCCTGTGCTCCTGTGCTTTTTTTTTTTCCACCTGAAACAAGACAGGCTAAGATGCTAAAATCTTGGGGAGCTAGGGGGATGGTTAAGGGGACATTTTCTTTAAATCACCCCCTTTTTGCAGATTAGACAACTGCAACCTCACGTCACACTGCTGCTGGGATCTTTCCACACTTCTGACCTCCAGCCAGAGCCTGCGAAAGCTGAGCCTGGGCAACAATGACCTGGGCGACCTGGGGGTCATGATGTTCTGTGAAGTGCTGAAACAGCAGAGCTGCCTCCTGCAGAACCTGGGGTGAGTGTGCTCTGCAGAGATGCCCGTGGTGGGACTCTGAGTTCTCAGGAAACGTTGACTGTTATCAAAATCCAGGATGGCTCTCGCTTCATTTGCAGCCACTCAAGATTAGGTTGGGCCTGGGTCAGTTGTGGTGGATATTTTAAAATAGAGAATATGGGGTTAAACTACACATTCCACTTCACTGAGATGGTTAGAATCACCAAGGCTAAGCTGGATTTCACCCACATTCCCCAAAGAAACACAAGCCCTCATGCGATCATGGCCAAGGAGGATTCTGTTCTACACAAGGAACCGAACTTCGTAGAACTCGTCTATGGGTCATCCAAATTGGAAGGGTCTTTACATAGTGGGGATCTTGTTGTTTTGTTTCTGAGGATTTATTTTTTTTTTCCTTGAGACAGAGTCTTGCTCTGTCGCCCAGGCTGGAGTGCAGTGGCATGATCTCGGCTCACTGCAAGCTCCGCCTCCCGGGTTCACGCCATTCTCCTGCCTCGGCCTCCCAAGTAGCTGGGACCACAGGCGCCTGCCACCACACCCGGCTAATTTTTTGTATTTTTAGTAGAGTTGGGGTTTCACTGTGTTAGCCAGGATGGTCTCCATCTCCTGACCTCGTGATCTGCCTGCCTCGGCCTCCCCAAGTGCTGGGATTACAGGTGTGAGCCTCCGTGCCTGGCGGTTTCTGAGGATTTCTAAATGGGAAAAGAGTGCTCCAGGAATAGCAAGATGGGAAATTACACGAAATTCGACAGTGTGTCAGGATATTGCCAGCCCACCTCTGTGATACTACTGAGGTAGTCGTCTCCTCTCTAGCAAGAGCTTCCTGGCGAGTCCCACGGTTCTGTCAGCCGTGATGATTGCACTTTTCCCTGAAGACGTTTTCACTGCTTGGCTTTAAGGCCAACATGCTCTCCTGGGTTTTCTCCTATTTCATCAGATCCTTCTACTCAGTCTCCTTTCTGGCCTCTTCTTCATCATCCTGACCCTTATGTGTTGAATCCTCAGAGCTTAGTCGCTGGGCTAATTTTTCTTCCCTACACTTTCTCCCTCATTTAAATTATCTGGTCTTCTGGCTTCATGATATGTGTGCTGTGGCCTCCAGATTATATGTCCATAAATTCTGTGTCTCCGTGCTTGGCTGATCTTTCTTCTTGAAGGTTTAATAAACCTCTCAAACGTCACATCTAGATCCACACCCTTGCTACTCTCTTCTACCCGAAACCTGATTCTTCCCCATTTCAGTCGATGGTCACTTCCTCCAAGTTGCTCGGGCCAAAACATTTCTGGTTCTGTCGTCACTGTCTCTTTTTCCTTATAATCATGTCCAATGTGTCAGCACATCCTGTGAGCTCTGCCTTCCCAGCTTGGCCACTCCCTGACCACTTCAGGCCAGCTTCACGGCTTCTTCCTTGGCTCAAGCCACCATCACCTGGTGTCTGGATTGTCATGGTGGCATTCTGACAGGTCACCCTGCATCTGTTATTCTGATTTTAGCAGACAAGGGATTCAGCTAAAACGTAACTCGCATCATATCACTCTTGTCAACATCGTCTTCTTATCACTTTCATAATCAGAGCAACAAACTCATGGTGGCTTCCATGCCCCACATAATCCAGCCTCTCCTGCTTCCGAAGATTCCGCTTCTCCCAACCCTTGCTTATTCTGCCCCAGTACAGTGATCTCCTTGCTGTTTTGCAAGAACACTGTCATCTCTGGATTTTTGCACTTGCTTTTCTTCTGGCCTAGAACTCTCTCCCCTTCAGTATCCACCTGCATTATTCCCTGTACCTTCCTAAATTCTCTGCTTAAAGGTCTTCTCTGCGAGGCTGTCTTTGACTATTCTACTGAAAATAGAAGCACTTTTTCTTCTCTTCTCATTCTCCTCTGCAGTGTAGCACATCTTATGTGCTATGTCATTTTCTTGTTTATTTATTATCTATCTCTGCTCCCAAAATATAAATTCCATTAGTCCAGGGACTTCTGTCCATATTAATGATCTCAAGGCTGAGAACTTGTTGGAATGCAGGTTTGAATAAATACAAGTTTGAATCAGCCTTGCATCCTTGTGCCAACATAATGGAGCACATTTGCTGCAGGACAAGCCAATATTCCCAGAGCTAAGAGAGATGGGGGAACAAACAAAGGATTGGTCAGGTCAAAGCTGGGGACACTGCTACATGTAGCATCACTGACCTAGCCCTGAGGGACATTCTGGACCCAGGCTGAGGGACAGGCTCAAAATAGATTGAAGAATCCATGAATGCAATCAACCCGTTTTCTCAGGCTGCGATAACAAGCTGCTTTAGACTGTGTGACTCAAACACAGATTTATTATCTCACAATACTGGAGGCTAGAAAGTCCAAAATCAAGTCTCTGATGAATTTGGTTGCTGGCGAGAGTCCTCTTCCTGATTTGCAGATGGCTACCTTCTTGTTATGTGATTGCATGGAGGGAGGGGAGGCAAGGGAGAGAAGACAGGGGAGAAAGAACAAACTCTCTGATATCTCTCCTGTAAGGGCACTCACCCCATACTGAGGGCCCCACCCTCACAACTTCATCTAACTCTAACTACTTCCCAAGGGCCTCACCTTTAAGTACCGTACATTAGGGGTTCGGGCTTCATCATGGGAATTGTTAAGGAAGACAAACATTCAGTATATAACACCACCAAATTGAGATGGTTATAAATGGTGCAGGACAAATGGGTGGATTTATTAGTTAAGTTGCAAGGGAAACTTTATTAAAGAGGAGGAAGAACTTACATCGAAGATGTGAGAGGCATCCTGGGCAAATGCAATGTGTAGAATTGATCAGGTTAGTGACTAAATGAACATAAGGTAAAAAAATTTACAAGACAGTTGAGGAAGCGTAAATGCTGACTGGACATACAGTGATACTAAGAAATTATTGTTAAACGATTTTGGTGTGATAGTGACATTGTAATTATATTTTAGTGTCACAAAGTGAATTATTGATAGATGCATTAAATGCAGTATTTAAAATAATCCATGGGTGGGAGGAGTGGGTGGGCAATAGAAGAAACAAGTTGACATGACCTGTTTAATTGTCGAACTTGGGTAATGGACACAGGGGGTTCATTATACTATTTTCTATACTTTTATGTATGCTTAACATTTTCCCAACTAGATAGTTAAAAATATAACAGGAACCACATTGGGCACTTAGAGCTTTTTTTTTTTTTTCCCCACATTTTTATTGGGAGCCGTGGGAGGGGCCTCCTCTGTCATTGGAGGTGCTCACAGTTTCTTCAGCCACTCCAGGCTGGGGTCCTGGGGGTCTGAGGCTCCCAGTGACGAAGGACACGACGAGCACCGGCTCCTTGGCCCAGGCATTCTTGAAGAAGGTGCGGAGTCTCGCGGCCATCTTGGTCTCGGCGGCGGCGACGGCGGCGAGGACGCGGAGCACTCTGGGAGTTGTGGTCCCTCTTTTTTTTTTTTTTTTTTTTTTACATTTTAGAAGTGTGTGGAGTTTAGGGAAATGAAGAGATGAGACTTTTAAGGTTAACGACTCTGACAGAGTTATCTGAAGAGTGCAACCCAGGCTTTCTATTTGCTTTTACAGGTTGTCTGAAATGTATTTCAATTATGAGACAAAAAGTGCGTTAGAAACACTTCAAGAAGAAAAGCCTGAGCTGACCGTCGTCTTTGAGCCTTCTTGGTAGGAGTGGAAACGGGGCTGCCAGACGCCAGTGTTCTCCGGTCCCTCCAGCTGGGGGCCCTCAGGTGGAGAGAGCTGCGATCCATCCAGGCCAAGACCACAGCTCTGTGATCCTTCCGGTGGAGTGTCGGAGAAGAGAGCTTGCCGACGATGCCTTCCTGTGCAGAGCTTGGGCATCTCCTTTACGCCAGGGTGAGGAAGACACCAGGACAATGACAGCATCGGGTGTTGTTGTCATCACAGCGCCTCAGTTAGAGGATGTTCCTCTTGGTGACCTCATGTAATTAGCTCATTCAATAAAGCACTTTCTTTATTTTTCTCTTCTCTGTCTAACTTTCTTTTTCCTATCTTTTTTCTTCTTTGTTCTGTTTACTTTTGCTCATATCATCATTCCCGCTATCTTTCTATTAACTGACCATAACACAGAACTAGTTGACTATATATTATGTTGAAATTTTATGGCAGCTATTTATTTATTTAAATTTTTTGTAACAGTTTTGTTTTCTAATAAGAAAAATCCATGCTTTTTGTAGCTGGTTGAAAATTCAGGAATATGTAAAACTTTTTGGTATTTAATTAAATTGATTCCTTTTCTTAATTTTAAAAAAGAGTACCTAGAAATTTTTCAAATTATTTCTCTAAACCACTAAAGATAAATTAAATTGTTTGGTGCATTTTAAAAGTCACTTTGGCAAATGATTCCATTGTAGATAATTTTTAAAACGTTACCTCACTCTAACTGTAATGAGTGGAATTTCATCTTTGATAGGATAGGAGATTGAAAATCGTGGAGGGAAAGGTTTGAGAGTATCAGAGCCTGCGCTCCTAACTAGAAGTATTATGTAGAAGATGCATCTTGCTTTCAGTTGATAACAGCTTATTTTGGATTTATCCCATCCGAGGAACAGTTCATCTATTATACTTCACAGAGCATTAAGTTATAAGGAAATATTTACTAATTGCTTCTCTACACATGGACAACTCTTAAACCGCATGGAATTGCTCAGGATGGAAATACTATTTCCTCTGTACAATTAGCCATCAAAGTAGCCACACTTTGCTACTCAAAGTGTAGTCTATGAACTGTCGATATAAGGAGCTTGTATAAGAATGTAAAACAATCACATTATTAAACATACCTTTTAGATGAGCTGACATTTAAAAAAAACCCTGAAGACTATTTTTATAAGGGAAACAGTATGAGATTTACATTCTGTTGCAAACTCTGTCTTGTTAGCACTTCTGAGCAGCACCAACTGGAGACTGGGTTTCTGCATCTTGGTGAACTATTACCGACTGCCTTCCTGCTACAAACACTTTGATAACCTATATAAATAATGTAATCAGAAACACATAGCTGAGCTTGAAAGAGAGAAAGAGAACCTTTGGGCATTAGGACATTAAAACTGGCCAGGTTGCTGAGAATGCCATTATTTCATTCCTTTTTATGGCTGAATAGTATTTTTCCATGGTATATATCTCACATTTTCTTTTTCTTTTTTTTTTGAGATGGAGTCTTGCTCTGTCGCCCAGTCTGGAGTGCAGAGGCGCGATCTCGGCTCACTGCAACCTCCGCCTCCCGGGTTCAAGCAATTCTCTGCCTCAGCCTCCTGAGTAGCTGGGATTACAGGCGTGTGCCACCATGCCCAGCTAATTTTTGTATTTTTAGTAGAGATGGGGTTTCACCATCTTGGCCAGGCTGGTCTTGAACTCCTGACCTTGTGATTCACCCGCCTCGGCCTCCCAAAGTGCTGGGATTACAGGCATGAGCCACTGCGCCCAGATGGTTCCATATTTTTCCAATTGCAAATTGTGCTGCTATAAACACGCATGAGCAAGTATCTTTTTCGTATAATGACTTATTTTCCTCTGGGTAGATGCCCCGTAGTGGGATTGCTGGATCAAATGGTAGATCTACTTTTTGTTCTTTAAGGATCCACAATGTTTTCCATCGTGGTTGTACTAGTGTTTGTACTAGTTTACATTTCATGGAAAAACTTTCTATAGAAGAAAATGTGAACTACAGAGAAAAAAAAATCAAAATCACAGGAAGAAGATAGCAATCTACTTCATTCCTGGAATTGTCTGAAAAAGTCGTGTAAAATTTGTGGAGATTTAAGTATATGGAGAAAAACACTTATTCATTGTAAGTAAAATAAGATTGTATTTCAGCTTCATCTTGTGTATACTTAGGAGTAATAGAAAAGAGACAAATGGGGAGAGAATAAAAGAAATATAGGAAGAGGAAAAGAGAAAAGAATCAGGAAATTGGAAGTGAAATAATTCCACACATACTTATTGAAGTCTATTTAAACAATGCTTAAAAATATATGGCCTCTTAGAATTATACGTTTAAAATGAACTTTGTCGCTATGGGATTTGGGGCATTATAACAGGAAGTGAGATGTTTGAAGACAGGGTTTTTGAGCTCTCTGGGTATTAACTCCTTAAGTGAAAGATGCTCTGAGTGCACAATAGACTTGTGCTGTGTTCTTTAATTGATGGAGATGCTACATCTCATGTCCTCATCATCCACAGAGCCTCCAGATCCTGGCCAGAAGTCTCCTCAGAGCCCCCTTCATATCTTTATTTCTCAGGGTGTAGGTGAAGGGATTGAGAGTGGGGGTGATTATGGAATAGAAGAGAGAAATAAATTTGCCCTGCTCTTGGGAGTAGCTGGAAGGGGGCTGCAGATACATGTAAATCGCAGGTAGGTAGAAGAGGGAGACGATCATCAGGTGGGAGGAACACGTCCCAAAGGCCTTGTGTCGTCCCTTGGAGGACTGGATCCTGAGCACTGCCCGGGCAATAAAGCCATAGGAGAGAAGGATGAGAGCCAGGGGCACCAACACGAAGAAGGCCACCAGCACAGCCAGTATGGTGTCATTCACAGCGGTGTCAGCACACGACAGCTTGATCACGGCCGGCACCTCACAGAAAAAGTTGTTCAGCACCTGCCGCCCGCAGAATGGCAATTGCACCGTCAGGACCACCTGCACGAAGGAGTTGCCGAAGCCACTGAGCCAGGCCAGAGCCACGAGCTGCTGACAGAGAGCACGGTGCATGAGAACGGCATAGTGCAGGGGCTTGCAGATGGCCACGTAGCGGTCCAGGGCCATGGCGGCCAGGACGATGCACTCCGTGCATCCCAGCCAGTGGAAGACTGCATATTGCACAGTGCAGCCTCCATAGCTGATGGTCTTCTGGGAACTGCCCATGTTGACCAGCATCTGAGGGACTGTCGTGGTGGTGTAGCAGAGGTCCAGGAAGGACAGGTGACTGAGGAAGATGTACATGGGGCTGTGGAGTTGAGGATCCACCCGGGATGCCAGGATGATGGCGACGTTCCCCAACATGGCCAGCACATAGGACAGCAGGAGGACCACAAAGAGAGGGAGTTCCAGCCACGGCCTGTCAGACACACCCAGAAGGATGAAGGCTTTAGGGGAGTCCCCTAAGAAGCTATGGTTGTCACTTTTCATGTTGCGGCATTTTCTGGCACTTGTGGCAAATTGAGAAAATTGGAATGAATAATACCTGAGAAGAGGAATTGATCACTTTCCTCCCTCTTGCATCCACTCTTCCTTTCCCAGGTGATAGCCTGTTTGATTCTCCTTACCTCTGTGGAGACGCTGGGATGCGGAAGGGTCAGAACCAGGAGCCCCAGTAGCAGCCTCTGTGTCTTTGCTCTCCTTCCTACTCAGTGGCCGCAACTAAACCATTTAATATTCCTGAACTTCTGCATCTGTAAAATGGGGAGAAATACCTCCTTCAATTGCCAAGACTTGGGGACGATAGAGACATTAAGTATGTGAGAAGAATACCTCACGAATGACAATTATGTTCCAGGTAGAGCGAAGCGTGCTGCAGCTCCCATCACCGTCAGAGTGTTTGATTTCTCTCTACATCCACATCGACAAGGAATTGTCCACCTTCTTAGGCTTTCCCATTTTGGGAGGTAGTGGTAGGAGGGAGGCAGGCGGTGACATAAAGCAAGCAGAAGGGCTTTGTGAGCAGCTGGGGGCTGTATTGATAGGACCACCCCCCGTCACTGGCTCACGCTTGCATCCAGCTCCCGGATTCATGCTGATCTCCGCTGTCATGACCACACACGCACAGGCAGCCCTGTCACTCACACTGGCAGTAAAAGCAGCACAATTCTAGGTCCTGTGAGTCTCTGGAGTGGAAGAGCCAAGGTATACGTTACTTCAGCCCCTGAATAGGTCATGGTAGTTAATGAGACCCCAGACCATGGAATTTTGAGCACAGGGAGAAAGCTCTTGATTGGCGTGAGAAAGGTAGCCCCTGGAATTGTCTACGGAAAGATCAGACTGCCCTCTAGGGCTAGGTTTTATCTGATGGCTTGAGTGACATTCCAATTTCCTGCACAATTTCTTTGCCGAGCAGCTGTCACCTCTCAGTGATAGAAAACAGCCAATTTGATTTCTGAAACCATTGCTGTTAGGAAGCAACTGGGTTGCCACCTGCTGATTCGTGGGTCCTTTCGACTGCACCATTGGCTTCTCACCTCCTACAATCGCTCAAGCATTGCACACCTTCCAGTTCCTGATGGGGATGTTATGCTCCATGATAGGATTGAAAAATATTATTAATAAACAATAATTAATTAATCATTATTCATAATAAATCCTGTAAGCAGATAATTTATGAAGGATTTTTATTCTTGATTTGGTACCTTATGCATAGACTGTAAAACTAACGGAGATCTGCTCAGCTTACATGTTGCAACAGGTGTTCCCTGCTGCCCCAGTTGATGTTCTGAAGAACTCTACTGTTACTGGAAAACAACTCAAACTCCAGGGTTTCAATGGAGGAATAAGTTCAGTTTTTCCCTCCTGCTTCTCTAGTTTCAAAACCACACACGTTTTGTCAGAAAGTTGCCAATATTCTTGTGAAACATTCAATTATCGTATCTCCTCCCAGATTCTATCAACAATACTTATGAAATAAACTTCACAGAATGTGATCTTATCTCTAACGAGCTCAAGATGCCTGTCAAAACAGTGAGCTGTGGCCGAGCAAAGTCAAGCTAGCACATTTTTAAGTCTAATTATTAAGAAGTAAAGGAATTATGACATTTCTCTTTCTGAGATTTCTGATTCCAGAGTTTCTTTTCAGAGCCTAAACTGGGAGAAAAGGGAGAAGTTGTAGGGATAGTGAAGAAAGAAATGAGAGAATGAAGGAAGCAAGAAAGATAGAGGGGTAAATGTATGCGGCAATTTATAATAAAGACAAGTTATTTACCACTCACTGTGAGCCAGGTACTGTAATAATAACTTGATGTTGCCTTAATATCTCAGCAAGGTCCATGTTTTCACCCCTAATTGACTGAGCGACTCGGGAGGACAGCTGGTCTACCTTAGTTACACGGCAGCAAATGGTAAAGCCAGGACTGAAAGCCAAACTCCTGCTCTTCACTACTATTCTCTCCAGAACTTTGCTTTAAAAAAAGAGCAGCTGGTGACATGGGGAGCAGCAAGGGCAGTCGCGTAAACGACTGAGACAAAAGAAGTTCCTGGGAAGGGGAGATGAGGGAGAGGAAGGTCACAGGATAGAAAGGGGCAGGGATTAGAGAGGAGTGGTTTTCTTGTAATTATAGTCCACTGTACATGTGCACACTTACGTACACACGTGCACACACATGCATGCACGTGCACACGCACACACACACACACACACACACACGCACACACACACGGTTTCTCAATGGCAAAGCTGGACACTGCCCAGCCCTGCCCCTCATGCCCTGGATCTGATGCCCTTCTGTTCAGGTGTTTCCACACGGAGCTTTCGTAGGTGTCTAGCCTCTGCACTCCTTGACCTTCTTTCATCTTCCCACTACCCAAGTACAGGTGCCCCCTCAAGGCACAGCCTTGCTTCCCTGGATGGACACAGTAGTTCCCACAAACATCGCCATCGCATTCAGACGGAATCCCTCAGGCTGTATCTACAGTTGTCAGTTCCTCACTGACCTCTAACCCCCTTTTTGACATTGTGAACTGAGGCATCCCAAATTTCACCTGGCAGCCATCCCCCCAGACTCAAACCATCTCCTTCATCTTAATTCTGGCTGAGTTCCCTTCAGTCACCGTGATGCCAAGTACTGAGGTTCTTTCTATTCATGTTCTACTCCTCATTCACTCTAGTTCAGCACCGAAGTTAAAGAATTCAACACCCACACAATGCTGTGATCCCACCACAATGTTGCATCGTTGCAGGCACGCACTGTCTGTATCCTCACCACTGCCGTCCTGGGCAGAAACGCCCACCAGGACCCCTCTTGGAACTTGCTACCTGCCTCTCTGCAGGCAGTTTCAACCCCTCACTCACCCTCACACGAAGTCATCTTTCTGAGACTCAGGCCTTAAGGCAAAGATATCTTTAGGTGTTTCAATTACCAAAAACGTAAGAACCCGTCGCTCAAGAGTTACCTGCTGATTGTATCATGTTCACGCTGAATTCCCGCAGTTTCTTCTGGGGGCTGCTGGCAGGCTAGGCTGTGAACACGCAGGCTGTGATACACCCTTAGATATATATCATTCCCTGTAGGATATATAATCCTTATGATTAATATTTATATCTCTATATCTATATCATCTACCTCTTATCCCTGACATTTGCTGCTGAAATCTCTGCTGAAGCTTGACGGAACACATTGTTACCTACTCCATCACACAAGATGGAAAATCAAATTTACAGCAGTGTGTGGAATTCCTAGAAAGTAGCTTATGAGATGGGCAAACAGAAACATGGTCATAGGATTTTATTGCTTATTAGTCCAAAGGGTCTCTTTCTTCAGTCTAGAATGCAGCCTCCCATCCCACAACCGGGATAGCCTGGTCCAGGCCCTGTTCAGCTGCGGAGGCCATCATTGGGATTACACTCAAGAGAGTCTTGGGGACAAGGCTTAATGATAGCAGTATTTTCCTGAACTGATAATAACACGGACTCTTTCATCACAAAAAGAGAAAGAGCCCCTTTCTCCTTATTTAAGAGCCCCTTTCTCCTTATTTGTTTGCATTTGCAGTCCTGGTTCAATGGCACGCTTTTTCTTAGGAGTCTAACAAGTACAATCGAGACGTTAGCTGGCACAGGGGCTTGAGAGCACACAAGCCCAGCCTCAACTCCACCTCTTCATCTTTATTCTCAGTGTCACTCAGCAGCCTCTGCAATGTAGTTAGTGTCCCTGTGCATGCACAGTCCTTTCTCATCCTGTGCCAGGACTGGGGAAGTGCACATCCTCCTGCTGGGAATAGCAGGAATGTCTTGGGAATCTTACGTTCTTCCCTTCCCTTCATGTCCCACCTCTGGTTTCAGGACAGCCCGGTTTCTTTCCTTTAACTGCCCTCACTAATTTAACACTATTCATCATCTTCTGTAGCTCCCACAGTACAAAGGGGTTTGAGGACATGAATATGCCTATTGCCACAGTGGATCTGAGGTCTAATTTTTCATAACACTTTAATTTGAAAGATTAAACAAATTCTTAGCATTGAGAGGAGAAGGGAAGTAAGTGCACACTGAATGAGCACCCACCAGTTCTCTGTGCACTAGGCACCGCATATGAGCCTTCCCATATCCCATTTCAATAACTCTGGAAAACTGAGAGGTTCAGAAAGATTAAGAAGTTCACCTCGTTCAGGGACTGGGGTATGAGTCCACAGGGTAAGCTATTTAAAAATCCAATGCCGGTTCACATGGAGGGGAAATTACTTCCTCATAAGCCTCTGGATGTCATAATCTGTCACTCTCAAAAGTAACAAACAGTTCCCCTTTAAAAAACTTTATTTTATATTTACTTAAAATAAATAGAGATGGGGTCTTGCTATTGCCCAGACTAGTCTCGAACTCCTAGGCTCAAGTGATCCTCCCACCTTGGCCTCCCAAAGTGCTAGGATTACAGGCGTGAGCCACCTCACCCAGCCCAGTTTCCCTTTTACATGCACGACCTCGTTAAACACCCTGTAAACCTGAAAAATATTAAAGACCTCGCCTAATGGAAAAATTGTAAATTTGCTGTATCATTTGGTAATCATTTCCAATATGTTAATTTTTTACTTTTTAGGGAGATTGTAATTACTTTTTTTTCTTTTTTTTTTTTAATTATAGTTTAAGTTCTGGGATACATGTGCAGAACGTGGAGGTTTGTTACACAGGTATACACGTGCCATGGTTGTTTGCTGCATCCATCAACCCGTCATCTACGTTAGGTATTTCTCATAATGCTCTCCCTCCCCTAGCCCCCACTCCCTGATGGGCCCCGGTGTGTGATGTTCCGCTCCCTGTGTCCATGTGTTCTCATTGTTCAAGTCCCACTAATGAGAACATGAACATGTCTTACATATTATGTCATTCACAGCATGAGGAATGCAATTAATTCACAAAAATGATTATTGATTTTGTTAGCAAATCTAAAAGCCTCATCCCTCAAATAGCTTCTTATTCTGGAGGTAGGTAGAGTCCTCAGCCTCGTCAGTTATTCCTTCTAGTGCTGGGGACGAAGGGAAGAGGAGGAGAAGGAGCTGGGACCCAGCAGTGATGGGCCTATGGGAGGGAGGATACGGCTGCACAGCCCTCAGCGCGTGGCTCAGGCAGGGTCAGCCCCTCTGCACATGCCTCCCCCTACCACCACCACACGTCATCGCCTTTTTATGTGGTCTGACTTTTTCAGATTTTTCAACCTGAAGCTTGCTTTCTCGGGGACTGATACGATTCAGCTCTGCATTCTCTTTTTCTCTCTTTCCATGGCCCTGCTCAGCTCACTACTGCCCTTGTGACTGTGATTCAGCAGCCTCAAAAATAGGAGGAAGCGGAGGAAAGGGACTCAGCGTCCCCACACACTGTGTGCAGCGTCCACTGTTCAGATGAGTGTCAGACAGCGTGCCTACCTCCAGGCAGAGCATCCTGTTCTGCTCCCGGCTCTCTTTTCTAGATAAAACCACACAACACAATTTTACACTTGCTGCTTAATACGTGGCCATTGCTCATCGACCCATCCATCCTCCACCTCATGTGCCCTTGGTCTCCAGCATAGCCCAGTGTTAATACTGCCCATCCTGCACCTCCACTGCACTGTACAGATTTCAGTTTGACTGGAGTTGAGGATGAATCACTCACCTCCAGGGTTCCTGGCTCCTACAGAAGACTTGCTTTAGGACTGAAGGCTATATTGCAGTCTGTGTTGGCCTTAGTCGCGGAGGGACATTTAAGGATGGACTTACTAGAAATGCTCTTCATATTCCAGGAACACACAGCACATTTCCTCTGATGGGCTGCTGGGACCTTACCATTTACTGGAACCCAACCCTCTGAGCAAGTCTGAGAGATTATTCTCAGTCTAGAAGGAGTCTGCTGTCCGTTGCAACAGGCTTGCTGGGGAGACTCAGGGTTTCCCGGACTCTCCCTTGGCAGTACGTGAGGTCGGTGGAACTGCCTTAACCTTAGTCCCCCAGAGTGCCTATAGGTACCTTGACATGGTGGAGGTTACTTCCGAGGATAAGGCTTTCAGGCAACACACCTTGCCCGTGTCACGCTCTCTGTTCATTTCAAAATTATCCCTCAGATTTAACTTGACCTCATTCTCTCCACTGTTTTCTATAAGGGCCCTGCTCATTCTCCCCAGACGTGAGAGTAAAAACTTGCTCTCCTCTGGCTGTGAAATTATCCCTGATGCTTTATTTAATTAGTGTCTAAGGGGTTAGCTGATAATTGAGGTGGTGTGAGAGCTTGGAGTTCTTGCAATTAATGGCAAATCCCAGAAGACCAGAGAAAATGGATCAATAATGGGGAATAAGAACTCTGTGTGTGTGTGTGTGTGTGTGTGTGTGTGTGTGTGTGTGTTGAACTCTTTAGGGCTGGTGCGTGGTGTGTGTGTGTGTGTTGAACTCTTTAAGGCTGGTGCGTGGTGTGTGTGTGTGTGTTGAACTCTTTAGGGCTGGTGCATGGTGTGTGTGTGTGTTGAACTCTTTAGGGCTGGTGCGTGGCGTGTGTGTGTGTGTGTTGAACTCTTTAGGGCTGGTGCGTGGTGTGTGTGTGTGTGTTGAACTCTTTAGGGCTGGTGTGTGTATGTGTGTGTGTGTTGAACTCTTTAGGGCTGGTGCATGGTGTGTGTATGTGTGTGTGTGTTGAACTCTTTAGGGCTGGTGCGTGGTGTGTGTGTGTGTGTGTTGAACTCTTTAGGGCTGGTGTGTGGTGTGTGTGTGTGTGTGTGTTGAACTCTTTAGGGCTGGTGCGTGGTGAGGTGATTACTGTAACATCAGAGTGGAGTAGTAACTAGAGTGTGTGATTCAGGTAAAGCATGAGACCTGAACTGGCTTCAACACCAGGCTCGGTCACTCATGCCATGTGTCTTTGAGCAGGTTACTTAACCTATCTGTGCCTCACTTGTGTTTTCTTAAAAATACAAGAAACATTAGTATTGTTTTGCACAGTCTGTTACAAGGGTGGAATGAATTGTTTCTTGTAAAGCACTCAGAACAATGAGTGGCACAGAGTGATACATGTTGAGGGCTTTTTGTTGTTGTTGTTGTTGATATATTGTCTCAGCACCCTATTATATTTTTCACATGGAGGGGATAAAAAAAATCTTTCTTAAGACAGGCCGCAAGAAGTAGTGCACATTTTATTTTATTTATTCTTTTATTTTCTTATCTGTATAAATTTAAGGGCTACTGGTGCAATTTTGTTACACGGATATATTGTGCAGTGGTGAAATCTGGGCATTTAGCGTAACTATCACCCGAATAACGTACATTTTACCCCACGTAATTTCTCCTCCCTCACCCCCTGACACCGTCCTACCCACCCTAGTCTCCAGGGTCTCTTACTCCATCCTCTGCATCCCTGTGGACACATAATTTAGCTCCCACTTGTAACTGAGAACATCTGGTATTTGACTTTCTGTTCCTCAGTTGTTTGGCTTAAGATAGTGTCCTCCAATTCCATCCACATTGCAGCAAAGATATGACTTCATTTTTTTTATGGCCAAATAGAATTCTTGTAGCGCAAATTTTAATTCATGAGCTACAATTCATGTGATTAAATGCTGCTATGGGAACCACTGTGAATAGCAGCACCTTGGTGCAGTTACTCTCCCTCTCTAGGTTTTGACTCGATCGTCTTTTTTCTCTAGCTTTAGATGTCTAAGTGGACACAGGGTGAGTCATGGCCATGAGTTAGGGCTCTATTTTTACCTTCTGGGGATGGAGGGAGGAGAGAATATGTCCCAGAAGAAGATGGGGCGACTGTGCTTTGGCGAAGAAGTGGGAGCTGTCCCTGATTCTAAGCATGCTCTCTTGTACTCTCTCCCACGGAGAGCCAGATGAGGCACCAGGGACATCTTAGACACTTTTTTTTTTTTTGAGACGGAGTTTCACTCTTGTCTCCCAGGCTGGAGTGCAGTGGTGCGATCTCGGCTCACTGCAACCTCTGCCTCCTGGGTTCAAGTGATTCTCCTGCCTCAGCCTCCCGAGTCTATGGGACTACAGGCACCCACCACCACACCTGGCTAATTTTTTGTGTTTTTAGTAGAGACGGGGTTTCATTATGTTGGCCAGGCTGGTCTCGAACTCCTGGCCTCAGGTGATCCGCCTGCCTCGGCCTCCCAAAGTGCTGGGATTACAGGTGTGAGCCACCGTGCCCGGCCTTAGACACTGTCTTGTTATCCAGCTGGGATAATTTCCAGAAGTGGAGAGGCTTCCATATCTCTGCAGTTGGGGGAAGAAAGGTGGAATAAACAGTTTTGTGCTGAGAAAACCCAGATGCAATTGTAGTTGGAAACTCCCACGACTGAGACTGACACAGGGTCCCACTGGAATTGTGCTAATTCTCGTCTTGATCATCTTTCTTCAAATATCTGTTCTCCCACTCTTATTGTTGGCACCCCCTTTTACTCCATGCAGCAAGGTACTCTGTGATGTGATGATATTTTCCAGGCTTTCTAACAGATAGGGGAAGCTAATGAGATAAAATTACTGGGAAAGCTTGGAAAAATATTAGCCAATCCTCCATTCTCTATTTTTGTGCATGGAACGTAGTCTTGATGGCTAGCGCCCTAGCAGCCATATTTGATCTTAAAGCAATCTTAAAGAAGCAAGTCACATATTAAGAATGGTGGAACAGGCTAGGCATGGTGGCTCACACCTGTAATCCCGGCAGTTTGGGAGGCTGAGGCAGGTGGATCACCTGTTTGGGAGTTTGAGACCAGGCTGACCAACATGGAGAAACCCCGTGTCTGCTAAAAATACAAACAATTAGCCAGGCATGGTGGCACATGCCTGTAACCCCAGCTACTTGGGAGGCTGAGGCAGAAGAATCGCTTGAACCCAGGAGGCGGAGGTTGCAGTGAGCCGAAATTATGCCATTGCACTCCAAGCTGGGCAACAAGAGCAAAACTCCATCAAAAAAAAAAAAAAAAAAAAAAAAAAAAAAAAGAATGGTAGAACATTGAGAAGGAGCCAGGGTACTTGATATTTGATGGTCAAAGAGGTGCCGTGAACTGTTGACCTCCAGTTTCTTTGACATAAAAGTAATAAGCTTCCATCTTATTCACAGCACTGATCTGGGTTTTATGTCTTAGGAAACTGAACTCAATTCTGGCAGTGATTTCAGGAAGATTTTCTGAGATTTCTTTTGTAATATGATTGTGTTATAAGATATAATAAAGCACAGATATTAGTAATTCCAACCTCTAGAAGAATGTGATCTAAAGCAGTCTGTGTTGACATCAATGTCACAGATTAACAATTGAAAAACAAACAAATGGATAAATTTAATGATCAAATAGATGATGATAAATACTTAATGCAGCTACAGTCAGTGGACATTGAAGATGAAGGCAGCCAGGAGTCAAAAAACGTTTTATATTTCCAGGCATTCTAGAATGAGAAAAGAGAAGACTTGCTCTGCTTGGTGTGAACTGGGGGGGTTCCCTGTGGAGAAGGCAGGCGTGATATGGATTGCCTGTATTTCTAGAATTACATGTTATTTCAGCTGTGGTTAGGATTTGAGTAAAGAAAAGAAAGAATCACACTGATATCCACAAGGAATATATTTAGGCTGATATTTATTTAACATAAGTCCAATAGATGGAAGTGGTGAAAAATGGGTGTTTGCAGCCAAATGAACTGGATTCAAATCCCAGGCCTCACGTATTAAGCTTGGGACCTTAAATGAGTTACATAAGTCTTCTGAGGCTCGGTTTCCTTACCAGTACAATAGAAATCATAATTTCTGACCACTGGATTGATATAAGAATAACTGAAATAATATATGCAAATATATTGGTATGATTCCTGGTACAAAACTTAGTAAGTGGCAGTCCACACTTTCCTTCTTGCTTTCTTTCCTTCCATTCACCCATCGACAAATATTTAAGAAATTCTTTTTTTTTTTTGAAATGGAGTCTGGCTGTGTTTCCCAGGCTGGAGTGCAGTGGTGTGATCTTGGCTCACTGTAACCTCCGCCTCCCAGGTTCAAGCGATTCTCCTGCCTCAGCCTCCCGAGTAGCTAGGATTACAGGCGCCTGCCACCATGCCCAGCTAATTTCTGTACTTTTAGTAGAGATGGGGTTTCACCATGTTGGTCAGGCTGGACCTGAACCCCTGACCTCATGATCCGCCCTCCTTGGCCTCCCAAAGTGCTGGGATTACAGGTGTGAGCCACCGTGCCCGGCCAAGAAATTCTTATGATGTGCCATGTGCTGTGACTAATGGTGAGATGTAGTGTAAATGGAATTATTTGTGCCCTCAAGGAAACTTTGGAGTGATAGAAGTGTTTTACTAATTGTCTGGAATGGTAGTTGCATGGCTGCTTACACTTAGCAAAACTCATCAAACTGAGTATTAAAATGAATAAATTTTGTCATATGCAAATTATATCCAAATAAAGCTATAAGAAAGTATTTGGGCCCATGCAGAGCTACCAGAATGGTGTAGAAAAAGAGACAGTAAGCAAATCGTTGCATAACCATGAAGTATAGCTGTGAGAAAGATTAAGAAGGAAAAGAAAGGACAGCAAAGAATGCTTTGAAAAGCCATGGTACCCTGGCTTTCCACCCATCAAATACATTTCTAATAGATGATGATAAATACTGACCATAGCCATCACCTCATATTATCTGTGCCAGCTGATGGCAAAAGGAGAAAAGCAACTATAATCTACTCAGCAAAAATTCTGAATACAATACACTGTTATTAACTCTAGTCCTTAAGTTATGCTGTACATTAGATCTTCCAACTTGTTCATTCTGCGTATGTGCTACTTTGTATCCTTTCATCTACCTTTCTCCATTACCTGAACCCCAACCACTGTTTTATTCTCTCGATTTGTATATTTGACCTTTTTTTCAGATTCCACATATAAGTGAGATCATGCAGTATATTTAGTTTTGTGTCTGGCTTATTTCACTTAGCATAATATCCTCCAGGTCTATTCAAATTATGGATAAATGGCAGCATTTCCTTCTTTTTTTTTTTTTCTTTGGAGGGTGGTGAATACAGAGGATTTTATTGTTGATGAAAGTGGCATTCAGTGGGAAGGGGAGCTGGAAAGGGGTTGGAGTGGGAAAGTGGTCATCCCCTGGAGTCTGGCTTTCCCTGGCCAGGCTCCTCTCTGAAGTCCCACTGTCAAGCTATCCCTCTGAAGTCAAGCTGCTTCTCTGACATCTGGCTGCTTCTTCTCTTCTCTTCTTTTCTGCCGTTCCTCTGCCAGTGGAGCCTGGGGTTTTTATGGGTACAGAATGGGGGGCAGGGCGAGCCACGGGGGTTTTGGAAAAGGCAACATTTGAGCAGAAAAATGGGGATGTTCTCACTTTGGGCCATGGTTCTAGGCTTGAGGGTGGGGCTTTGCCAGGGACCCCACCCTTTTCTGCCTAGAATTTCTCTGCCTCCTGTCCCTATCAAAACCATAGTGAAAGAGAGCATATCAGTTGTTAATATGAAGCCAGAAGTGTGGAGAGTGGCATCTCCTTTTTAAGGCAGTGAGATGCTTGTATCTATCTAGCTATCTAGCTGGCCAGCTCAGAGTTTGTCTATTCATTCATAGACAGATGCCTAGGTTGTCTTCATTCCGTGGCTATTGTGAATAATGCCACAATGAACATAGGAAAGCAGAAATCTTTATGAGGTGGTGACTTCATTTTCTTTAGGTATACACCCACAAGAGGGATTGCTGGATCATGTAGGAGTTTTGTTTTTAACTTCTCCAGACTGTGGTCCATAATGGCTGCCCAATCCACATTCCCACCCACAGTGTGCAGGGCTCCCCCTTTCCACATCCTCATCAACACTTCTTATCTCTTGACTTGTTGATAATAGCAATCCTAACAGATGTGAAGCATTATCTCACTGTAGTTTTGATTTGCATTTCCCTGATGACTAGTGACATTGAGCAACTTTTCATATACCTGTTGGTCATTCGTATGTCTTCTTTGGTAAAGTATCTATTCAGGCCTTTTACCCATTTTTCATTGAGTTATATATTCTCTTAGTTTTGAGTTGTAAGAGTTCTTTATAAATGTTGAGTGTTTACCCCTTATCAGGTATTTTTTCCCAATCCATAGGTTACCTTTTCATCTTGTTAACTGTATCCTTTGCTGTGCAGAATCTTTGTCGTTTGAAGCTTTATTACTATTATACCTTGTTTTATGGTGTTTATGAACTAGGGCTTTGCAGAAATGGAAGAAGTGGTAAACCAGTGAAAAATGCTGTCCAAGTGTCAAAAGTCCTTTGAGCAAAATCGGGGGCTCTCCAGATTTCTAGACTTACCTTTCTCTCTCTTTGCTCAAGAACTGTTTCTCCGGAACACTCTGTCTTCCTCAGCCCTGAAAACAAACATATACTAGTGTTCTTCAATAGAGTTCTCCATGCTTATAGAATTATATACATATGTGCAAATAAAATATGTGCTCCTTTATATGACAAATTATATCATATAATATAAAAGTAAATTATATGCATAAAAGTTTAACTTTTCTCTATTTCTCGTCTCTCTACAGTATTTACTTTAGAATTAGCATCCAGACTTTAGAAGGACATCACAGGGATGCATATTTAACACAGTGATTTATTCAAAAAGAAATTCAGTGGATTTTCAGATAAAAAGTAAATTTTATAATTAAATTATATGTTACAAATCAAGGGCCAATAGTAGCTGTGAATACATATTTCCTGTTTCACAAAAGAGTTATTTCTTGTGCTGAAAAGCTAGTCAAAGGTGAACATACTAAAATATAAGTTTGGACCTTATTATTAATTCTTTGCCAATTAAGAATGAGATTTACTTTTTTTTGAGAAAGAGATTTCTTCCAGGATCCTCAGTACCATGGTTTATTGAGAAGTATGCTATTGCACAGCAAGGTGTCTATAGTTAAGAATAATATATTGTATATTTCTGGTCAGGTGTGGTGGCTCACACCTGTAATCCCAGCACTTTGGGAGGCTGAGGCAGGTGGATCGCTGGAGCTCAGGAGTTTGATACCGGCCTGCGCAACATGGTGAGGCCTCCCCCACAACTCCCATTTCTATTTAAGAGAGAGAGAAAAAAGAATAATATATTGCATATTTCCAAAAAAAAAAAAGCTAAAAGAGGGGATTTTAAATGTTCTCATCTCAAGAAATAATAAATATTTGAGGTGATGGATATGCTAATTGAATCATTCCACAATGTATACACATATATCAAAATATCGCATTGTAATTCATAAATATGTAGTTATTTGATTTAAAAATAAAATGGAACTTTAAAAATGTTACAGTATTTAGCTTAAAAATAAGCGATATAAATTATATGCTACATTATGTATTAAATCAATCATAAATGATGTATTAATTATATATAATGTATATTATTTTATGCATTATATATTATATGGCATATATTAGTATGCAAAGAAATGGGTAATATCATGTAGTTTTCACGTACCTTGCTTTATTACTGTGAGAAATGGAGGGAAATCCCTTTACGTGGGCTGGGTAAGATCATACTAATCTTTTTTTTTTTTTTTTTTTTTTCGGAGTCCCCCTCTGTTGCTCAGGCTGGAGTGCAGTGGCGCGATCTCGGCTCACTGCAAGCTCCGCTCCCCAGATTCAGGCGATTCTCCTCCCTCAGCCTCCGGAGTAGCCGGGCTTACAGGCGCCCGCCACCATGCCCAGCTAATTTTTCTATTTTTAGTAGAGACAGGGTTTTACCATGTTGGCCAGGCTGGTCTTGAACTCCTGACCTCAGGTGATCCACCCACCTCGGCCTCCCAAAGTGCTGGGATTACAGGCGTGAGCCCGGGCTGTACTCATCTTTTATAGTGGCAGGACTCTTTCCTCCTCAAGCTATACAGTGGTGAAATCCTAGTGAATTTTCTTGACATGGCAGTGATTTCAGTGTGAAACGAGCTGCCATTTCATATCTTCATGGTTTACTGGTTTTACTCTGGGCTCTGGTTACTCTGCAATTCCAGTTATCTGATTCTGTTGAAATCCCGTGTGTTGCTGCCTCTGCAGCCTCTTCTTCCTCATTCCGCCCTGGGGAATATGTCAGATATTCAGGGCACACAGTACTGGCAAGACTTGCTTACTAAGAACCTATTTCCATTCCCCCCGCTCCCCACCAAGTTTTAAGATCAGAAACGAGTTGGCTACTATCCTCTGTCATCTTTCATCCTAAAGTAAAATAATTTCTGAAATTCCCAAATGCTGCAGGAAAAGTATTACAAGGAAACCGAAAAACCACGTTTGAGAGATACTATAGATGCTTTGCTTCAACTTTCGCGGGTTACTTCTCCTTCCCCACTCCCGCTTCACAATCACTTTTCTTCCACTTCACAATGAAAAAGTGTTCTTTAACCTTTCCTGAAGGTGACTAAGAAGCATTGCTCTATGGTCTTCTCTCTTTATACTTTTCTTTCTTTCTTCTGTATTTCATCTTCCCTTCCTTTCCTTCTCTTTTGTTTTTCTTTGTGTCCCTCCCCATTCTTTCCAAAATTGTGCTATTTCTTATTTGTAGGCTGGGGATATCTAAGATGTATAATTTTATTTCCATTCAAAATTTCTACCACTTAGAGGAGATTTCCTCTTGAATGACCTACCAATATCTCAAGAAGTAAGGAATTTCTTTTTTTTTTTTGAGATGGAGTCTCGCTCTGTCACCCAGGCTGGAATTGCAGTGGTGCAATCTTGGCTCACGGCAGCCTCTGCCTCCTAGGTTTAAATGATTCTCCTGCCTCAGCCTCCTGAGTCGCTGGGATTACAGGCACGCATCACCACGCCTGGCTAATTTTTGTATTTTTAGTAGAGATGGGGTTTCACCATGTTGGTCAGGCTGGTTTCGAACTCCTGACCTTGTGATCCGCCAGTCTCGGCCTCCCAAAGTGCTGGGATTACAGGCGTAAGCCACCGCACTCGGCTGTGAAATTTCTTTACTTCCTAAACTTCTGTGGTGAATAAATGTCTTGTGGACCTTAATTAGCACGATTTCCTAAAGAAGTAACTTTTAAGTTCCATGCTTAGAAGCAAAGCGTGCATGAAAAAAGAACGCCTGTTGCCAGACATTTTATAACAATGATCTGTGTCACTACTTCACAGCAGCACTACCATTGTCATTATTGTATGGTACTCCTCATGGTACCCTGGCTTTCCACCCATCCTCAGCTCACCACCACTTAATTGTGAGGACAGCTCGTTTCCCCTGACTCATTTACTGTGCTTGGGGAAATCACCTTTGTTCTACCCTCCAAAGTTATGAAATTATCTCCCAACTAGGCCAGAGAGGCAGTTACTGTTGTGGTATAGTTTTAAAATGCTGAGTACCACACGGATCAAATACATTTCCATTATTAGTGTGCTCATACTTCTCATCTCATTTCATATTGCAAAATTTTACCAGGATGGGTCATGATGAGGAGTTGTCACATAATAACTCATAACAACTGAAGTGTCAGTTTTATGGGTGTTTATCACACTAATGTCTTTTAGAAAGACTCATGGCCTTTTTTTGTTTTTTTGAAATAGGATGAGTAAGATTGATTGTAAGAGAGAGAGAGATTCTTAGACAGATGGGCAGATTTTCTTTCTAGATTTCAAAATCAGAGTGATTGTCATTAGTTACAACTTGAACTAATCTTTTAATTGCAGTTTTAGGCTCAGTACTCCTACACAAGCTTGAGACTTCAATATTTTGAAGAATGTGAAAACTAGCAAAAGCCACTACATATTTCTTGTCCCAGTTCTTCATTCTTCTAGCCACAGGTTTTATTTGGATATAACAAATTTGCATTTTTGCCCTTATACTGTTAGGTCACAGAGTTATGTGTGGATGCCAACCCCATTAAAAAAATGTAGAATCCACTCAGTTTTTATATACCTGCAGTATTAATTATAACAAGATTGATGAGACTATTATGAAGTTGTAAGCATTTTCAACTGTTTATGAAAAACATAATGTATAACTTTTAATGAGCAATTTTTCTCAGTGCTCTAACAAATACAGCTTCACATTGCAAACACTCAGAGTCTAGTTTTAGGAAATATATATGAAATCCTCTGTATTGCATCAAAAAATATTCATAATTTCTCATGTGGCGATAACTAGAAGATATGAAATTAGAATAAATAGCTGAATAATTCAATAGTTTGATGTAGCCATTCTCTAAATATACCTCTTTTCTTTCTAAACAAAAGGAAATCATTCACCAAATCCTCTTCCTACTCAAAGGCTTTTGTGTTGACAGTTTTCTCAAGATTTGCCATTAAACACGATTCAACTTTGTGGATATGGTTCCAAATAGAATTTTAATGGAGATGTAGAATAATTTTATTCCATATAATTTCACCACCCTTTGGCTTTTAAATTATGTTTAAATAATATATATAAACACACATATATATGCTTAAATATATATGTTTATATATTATTGTAACGTAATTATATATTTAAACCCATATATGTATATCTAAAAACTGGCTGATTAAGTAAATATAACCTTGCCTTTGGGAATTTCCTTACGTCTTAAACTTCTGTAGAGAATAAATGTATTGTGGACCTTAATTAGCACAATTTCCTGAAGAATTAACTTTTAAGTTTCATGCTTAGAAGCAAAGCTTGCATGAACAAAGAACATCTGTTCCCAGACATTTTATACAATGCTCAGTGTCACTACTTGACAGCAGCACTACTATTGTCCTTATTGTATGGTACTCCCCATGGTACTCCGGCTTTCCACCCAGAAGTCAGTCTGACACAACTAGCAGGTTGATTTTATCTTCACACTCCATTGTCATCTACTATGGACTGAATTGTGGCTCCCAAAATTCATATGCTGAAGCGCTAACCCCCAGTGTGACTGCATCTGGAGACAGGATCTTTGGTAGGTAATTCATGTTAAATGAGAAAATGAAGGTGGCACCCTAATTCAATAGGACTGTGGCCTTATTAGAAGAGGAAGTGCTCTCTCTCACTTGCTCACACGCTCTGTGTTTCTGTCTCCCTCTCTCTATCTTTCATATTCTTTCTTCCTCCCCACCATGTGAGGACACAGAAATAAGGCGGTCTTTTGCAAGCCAGGAAGAGAATCCTCACCAGAAACCAAATCCTGACAGAAACTTCATCCTGGACTTTTCAGCCTCCAGAACTGTGAGAAAATAAATTTCTATTTTTTACGCCATGGTGGTAATTTGTTACGGCAGCCCAACCAGGCGAATGCACCGCCTTCATCATGTTGTCTCTCTCTACCGCATTCATTCTTCTATCCTTTTCATTTCATTAAAAACAAATCATTATGTAACATAAAGTCTGGATACACAGCAAATGTTTTCATTTGTTCCACATTTTGAAGAACTTTTAATCTCACCCAGGGGAGCATATGAACTAGTTTCAGAAAACAAATAGCATGAATTTGGAAACATAATTTCTTAAGGCTGAAAAAACTAAAACTATGAGTTAAGTTTTTAGAAAATGCTACAAAAAGTATCTTTTTTTAATGCAGAAATAAAAACACACAAGGAAGAAGTAGAATAATTGCTAACTATAATCTTATTTAGAAAAGTGAGTTCAGGCTGGGCGTGGGGGCTCACGCCTGTAATCCCAGCACTTTGGGAGGCCGAGGTGGGCAGATCAGGAGGTCAGGAGAAGGAGACCATCCTGGCCAACCCGGTGAAACCCGTCTCTACTAAAAAATACAAAAAAATTAGCCAGGCGTGCTGGTGGGCACCTGTAGTCCCAGCTACTTGGGAGGCTGAGGCAGGAGAATGGCGTGAACCTGGGAAACGGAGCTTGCAGTGAGCCGAGATCGCACCACTGCACTCCAGCCTGGGCGACAGAGCGAGACTCCGTCTCAAAAAAACAAAAACAAAAACAAAAAACAAAAAACAAAAAGAAAAATGAGTTCTAGAAGAGCATTTCAGCACTATATTGTCAAGCAATTAGGAAGAAGCGCCTTGCACTGAACATGTGTTTAATTCTTTAGATTCATAGATATCACAGCACAACATCTTCAATTAACTTGTAAATGTTTATAGTCATGGAAAATTCCTGTCAGAGAAAGTATCGGCCGGGCGCAATGGCTCACGCTTGTAATCCCAGCACTTTGGGAGGCCGAAGCGGGCAGATCACAAGAGGTCAGGAGTTCAAGACCAGCCTGGCCATGGTGAAACCCCATCTCTACTAAAAATACAAAAACAAACAAACAAACAAAGCTAGCTGGGCGTGGTGGTGCGTGAAAGCAGAATCCTGGAATTAAACATTGACTAAGTTTGTGATAAACTCTGGGGAGACCTAGAGGAGAAACTAAATACATAATCTTGTAATTTTATAAGCATTTTGAGAAAGTGTGAGTGGTAGTAGCAAATGTAGGTAACTCCAAACAAACATGAAAAATAGCATGATTTGCAGGATGTGGCTTTGGATGTTGTGGGCACCATGGACATGGTTGGGGCATCTGGTTTATGGGGATGAGCACAGTATTTGTATCCAGAGTATATATCTCTGGATCTGTGTCACAGACACACTACATACTTAGGGCAAGAAGTATCAGCACTTTGAGCCTCAGCCTTCTTGCACAAAAAGGCAAGAAATAACATTCACCTCCTAGGATTTGGAGATGATTGAATGCTTTAATATATGGGAATAGAAGGCATGCTGAAACTGATTATTTCTTCACTCTAAAAATGATTATTTTTTGTAAATAATAAACAAAAAACAAGCAAAACCATAACAGCATGCAAGAATCAGTGTGGGAAGAGCAGAAATTATGTTGCCGTGTTCCAAATACTACCACCTACATTTTAACAGTTGTTGAGCCCTGTGCAATTTAGTTAGCTTCCAGCTGAGCCTCGATTTTCCCACTTCTAGAGCAAGAATTATCACAGTTTATACATTATTTGCACTATAACTTGGTGCTAAATAAATGGGAAATATACACAGTCGATGCAGAGGAAACTGAAGCACAGAGAGATTAGGAAAGTTGCAAGAGAAAGCAGAGCTCCACCATGACACAGCTGGAGATGACACTCGGGCCAGGAGCCAGGACAGAGCTCCACCATGACACAGCTGGAGACGACACTCAGGCCAGAAGTCAGGACAGAGCTCCACCGTGACACAGCTGGAGACGACACTCAGGCCAGAAGCCAGGACAGAGCTCCACCGTGACACAGCTGGAGACGACACTCAGGCCAGAAGCCAGGGCGGAGCTCCACCGTGACACAGCTGGAGACGACACTCGGGCCAGAAGCCAGGACGGAGCTCCACCATGACACAGCTGGAGACGACACTCAGGCCAGAAGTCAGGACAGAGCTCCACCATGACACAGCTGGAGACGACACTCGGGCCAGAAGCCAGTACAGAGCTCCACCATGACGCAGCTGGAGACGACACTCAGGCCAGAAGTCAGGACAGAGCTCCACCATGACACAGCTGGAGACAACACTCGGGCCAGAAGCCAGTACAGAGCTCCACCATGACGCAGCTGGAGACGACACTCAGGCCAGAAGTCAGGACAAAGCTCCACTGTGACACAGCTGGAGAGGACACTCAGGCCAGAAGCCAGGACAGAGCTCCACCATGACACAGCTGGAGACAACACTCAGGCCAGAAGCCAGGGCGGAGCTCCACCGTGACACAGCTGGAGACGACACTCGGGCCAGAAGCCAGGACAGAGCTCCACCATGACACAGCTGGAGACGACACACAGGCCAGAAGTCAGGACAGAGCTCCACCATGACACAGCTGGAGACGACACTCGGGCCAGAAGCCAGGGCACAGCTCCACCATGATGCAGCTGGAGACGACACTCAGGCCGGAAGGCAGGGCAGAGCTCCACCATGACATAGCTGGAGATGACACTCAGGCCAGAGGCTAGGCCCTTTCACTCCACTGCCTCATAAAAGAGATGCAAATCTATGATGATGCAAAGCTGGCAGGGACCGCTCATGCACATCACCCCAACAATCAAGAAGCTGATTCTGAGTAAAAAAGATAAAACTTAAATAGGATGCTGCTTTAAAATTCAATTGCTCCATTACAGGATAGGGGAAAGCTGGTTGGGAAATTGCATGTGCAATAAAATTCTGACAATCTCTCTCTCTCTCTCTTTTTCTGCATTCAGTTTAGAAGGTTCTATGAAAAGTTTTCTTTGATTACACATTTTAAATAAATAAAGCAATAGAGAAATTATGAGAAAACCTAATGAACTGTTTTCAATAGTAAAAATACCATTCATATAAAAATCTAGTAAAGCTATGCATTCTATACTGTTAAACCACCTCTTTTTTTGTTGTTGTCGTTTGCTTGTTTTTTGTTTGCTTATGTAACTTATTTGTTCCTTTCTTTTTATTTTTCAACTTTTATTTTAGATTCAGGGGAGATAACCTTTTCAAATTGGATTTTAAATTGACACACTGGAGTGTTTGGGAGGGGAGTCTGGAGACTTGTTATAGAACACTCTCTTTGAAGGATTTATTAGGATTTTCTCTGTGCAACACCATTGAAAGTAATTTGCTTTTGGCTGGGCCACCAACTTTTGGGAATAGCGCAAAAAGAAGACTACTTCATGAAATTCAAGAGCGAGTTAAATGGACACCTTTTGCCATCCCCTTGTTGCCATAATGTTAGAATTCTTACATATCTTTGAGATATCTTGTTTCGACAGACACCTAATCTAATCCATTCTTCATGCTTACCTGCTTGAATAATCTTCAGAAATTGCAATCCTCATTTTATCATTCAATTATTTTAAAGCCCATACGGACCCTCCAAAGAGCAGCATGTGATACCTGGAGCCATCTCTGACTTGTCCTCTATGTCACCCCATGCCTCCTCCTCACCAACCTCATTCTCTTCACCACTTGTTCCAACGTTTAAAAAGCACATGCTAGTTTCAGATAGAGAGGAGGAAGAGGCTTTGAGATCTATTGCACAGCAGAATGACTATAGTAAATAATAGTGTACTATGTATTTCAAAATGACTGAGGGTACATTTCAAATGTCTCACCATAGAAATGATAGGTAGGTGAGGTGATGGATATCTTATTAGCCTGACTTAATCATGCCACATTGTATAAATGTATCAAAACATCACATAATTGTACCTCATAAATGTATATAATTATGATTTCTTAAACCAAACTAATAGTAATAATAAATTTAAAAAAATGAAAGAATGACCAAAAAAAGAGGGGGTGGGGAGAAGCACATATTCAAGGCTGGTTTCTTGGTACATGCTCGTTTCTCTGTCTTTCTCTCGCATTAACTGGCTAGAGTCCTACTTATCCTTTAATACTTGGATCAGTCTCATTTCCTTCTATGAAATCTTCTGTGATGTCCCTGTCTTTGTTTCCGAATTCTGCTTTGTTTTCTTGTGTCATTACAGTCCCCTGCTGGCCCTGTTTTCTGCCATGGGAACATTTTACTCATTTGTTCTATGTTTAAATTCTCCTTGCCTCCTCAGGACCTAGTTTTGGTCTGTAGAAGGTATTTACTAAATGCATAAGTAAATAGATTGATTCCGGGGTTACTGATCAAAATATGTGCTTCTGTAATTCTATTGTCAACTATTGTCCCAAATAAATGCTCATGCTGGCCTGCTCTTGTCACCTTTTTACGGCTCACTTACAGTCATTGCTGCCTCAATTCATTTGCAAATACATTATTTCACCTGCCATACAAACTTATTTGCATTTTTTTCCCCCAATTCTACTCAACACTCTAGACTTGGTTCAAATTTGACTTTTTCTTTAGCCATTTGTCTTTACTACTGTGTAAGATACAGGATGGCAGAAATTTTTTATTCTATTGTCTTGATTTTTAAATATAATACCTGGTACAATGCTTGATGCCTATTAGAGGCTCAATATGGGCTTGGATAATTATCATTCTTTGTCTCTTTGGCTGTTGGCTTTTCCTATGCCACTGAGTTTTTTTTTTTTTTTTGAGACGGAGTGTCGCACTGTCACCCACGCTGGAGTGCAGTGGCGCGATCTCGGCTCGCTGCCAGCTCCACCTCCCAGGTTCATGCCATTCTCCTGCCTCAGCCTCCGGAGTAGCTGGGACTACAGGTGCCCGCCACCATGCCTGGCTAATTTTTTGTATTTTTAGTAGAGACAGGGTTTCACCGTGTCAGCCAAGATGGTCTCGATCTCCTGACCTCCTAATCCGCCTGCCTCTGCTTCCCAAAGTGCTGGGATTACAGGCATGAGCCACCGTGCCCGGCCAGCCACTGACTTTTAAAAAATGTATACACTCAGTCCTAATCTGTTCCTGGACCTGAAAACTACTGTGGTGATTCTGGAAAGGGGGTCATAATTGGGTCTGAGAGGACTGTCTCCTTAATGCTTTTATTTGGGGTCCCATGTTTTTACCTCCCATTACCTAGAGTAGTCCATGCTCTTTGGGTAAGTGAGAGAATCTCCTTCATCATTCTGGGAATTCAGTAGAACAGAAATGATTGTTAATTCCTGTGCTCAAACCCAACCTAAACCTAAGTGGCCCTTCCAGTCATTTTACCTTGAGGTTGAAGAAGGAAGAGAGGTGAGGAGCCAGCAGTAGGAA
Organism: Homo sapiens; assembly: GCF_000001405.40. NCBI lineage: Eukaryota > Metazoa > Chordata > Mammalia > Primates > Hominidae > Homo > Homo sapiens. The sequence goes on from NC_000001.11 coordinate 247,474,551, forward strand.
TGTTCAGACCTAGGTCAGGAGATGCCGATTCTCTTCAGGGGGTCTGGAATTTAATGGCCAGATGGGCAGGACTAACCCAAATTCAGCGAAGAGAGAAAAAACTTGCTGACATTAGAGGGGACCTCCGGAGGTTTATTCTTTTGACTCCTCTGAGACCTGAGTTACTACATGTAGATAATAGTTCAGGGGCTTAGTAGGTGAAAAGGAGCATTCTAGAGGGATTTCTGCTCCTTCTAATTTATTGTCTTTAAAATAATCTTTGTCTTAGGGAATATACCTGAGTGAGCTGAAGGCAAGACCCTGAAACAATAAAATTGTTGTACAACAGGATTAAAATAGAGTCTTTGGCCACATCATGTTTTCATAGGCTTCCTATTAAAGAATGTGCAGAGGGACAGAATGATATCCATCCCAGGGGAATTTTTGTTCAAAATTTTATAGTTAATTACATGTGAAGCAATAACCTAAAAAGAATAAAATATCTAGGAATATAGTTAACCAAAGAAGTGAAAGAGCTCTACAATGAGAATTACAAAACACCTCTCAAAGAAATCAGAGAAGACATAAACAAATGGAACAACATTCCATGCTCATTGGTAGGAAGAATTAAAACTGCTAAAATGACCACACTGTCCAAAGTAAGTTATAGATTTAATGCTAATCTTATCAAGCCACCAATGACATTCTTCACTGAATTAGAAGAAACTATTTTAAAATTCATATGAAATCAAAAAAGAGCTTGAATAGCAAAGGTAATCCTAAACAAAAAGAACAAAGCCATAGGCATCACAACTATATTGTAAGGCTACAATCATCAAAACAGCATGGTACTGGTTCAAAAACAGATACAAGAAACCAAAGGAACAAAATAGAGAGCCCAGAAATAACATTGCAAACCTACAACCATCTGATCTTTGACAATGCTGACAAAAACAAGCAATGGGGAAACGATTCCCTATTCAATAAATGGTGCTGGGATAACTGGCTAGCCATATGCAGAAGATTGAAACTGGACCCCTTCCTTACACCATATACAAAAATGAACTCAAGATGGATTAAAGATTTAAATGTAAAACCTAAAACTATAAAATCCCTGGAAGATAACCCAGAAAATACCATTCTGGACATAAACCCTGGCAAAAATTTCATGACAAAGATGCCAAAAGACACCAAACAATTATTGCTCTTTTTGCAATAAGAGCAAAATTGACAAATGAGATCTAATTAAATGTAAGAGCTTCTGTATAGCAAAAGACTCTATAAACAGAGTAAACAGACAGCCTACAGAATGTGAGAAAATATTTGCAAACTATGTATATGACAAAAGGTCTAATATGAAGAATCCATAAGGACCTTAAACAAAGTTACAAGCAAAAAAAAACAAACAAACCCAAAAAACAAAGAACAACCCCATTAAAAAGTGGGCAAAAGACATGAACAGACACTTTTCAAAAGAAGACATACATGTGACCATTCAGCATATGAAAAAGTGCTCAACATACATGGGGCACAGTGGCTCACACCTATAATCCTAGCACTTTGGAAGGCTGAGGAGGGAGGATCACTTGAGCCCAAAAGTTCAAGACCAGCCTGGGCAACACAGTGATGTAGCGGGACGAGCTGCAGACAAAACCTCTCAGACACCGAGTGGTAGAAGGAAGGGCTTTATTCAGCTGGGAGCATCAGTAAACTACTGTCTTAAAATCTGAGCTCCCTGAGTGCACAATTTCTGTCCCTTTTAAGGGCTCACAACACTAAAGATTTTACATGAAAGTGTCGTGACTGATTTGAGCAAGCAGGGGGTATGTGACAGGGGCCGCATGCACCGGTGGTCAGAGTGAAACAGAACAGAATGGGAGGTTTCACAATGTCCTTCCATACAATGTCTGGGATCTATAGATAACATCAGTTGCTAGGTCAGGGGTGGAATTTTAACTACTAGGTTTAGGCCAGGCAGGCCCAGGCCTGGTTTCGGGTCTGATTTTGGGTCTGGTGCCTGGCGCCAGGCTGCCTGCCTTTGGTTTCACTTCCTTGGTTTTTTCTTAAAACAGGTACTGAGTATAAAACAATATAAAACAGTATGAGAGGGTCTCTCTCTTCTCTCAGTGAGATTCCATCCCTACAAAAAATATAAAAATTATCCAGGCATGGTGGCTACTTAGGAAGCTGAGGTGGGAGGATCACCTGAGCCTGTGGAGGCAGAGATTGCAGTGCTCAAACCACTGCACTCCAGCCTGGGTGACAGAGTGAGACCCTATCTCAAAAAATAAAAAAAAAGCTCCACATCAGAAAAATGCAAATCAAAACCACAATGAGATACCATCTCACACCAGTCAAAATAGCTATTATTAAAATGTCAAAAAAATAATAGATGCTGGCAAGGTTGTGGAGAAAAGGGAACTCATATACGTGACTGGTGGGAATATAAATTAGTTCAGCTCTTGTGGAAAGCAGTTTGGTGATTTCTTAAAGAACTCAGAACTACCATTTGACCCAACAACTATTCACAATAGCAAAGACATGGAATCCATTTAAAAGCCCATCATCCGTAGACTGGAGTTTTTAAATGTGGTACATATAGACAATGGAATACTATGTAGCCACAAAAAGAATGAGATCATGTCCTTTGCAATAACATGGATGGAGCTGGAGGTCATCATCTTAAGCAAACCAACACAGGAACAGAAAACCAAATACTGCATGTTCTCACTTGTAAGTGGAAGCTAAACTTTGAGTACATGTGGCCACAAAGAAGGGAACAATGATCACCAGGGCCTACCTGAGGGTGAAGGGTAGGAAGAGGGTGAGGATCAAAAAACTACCTATCAGGCACTATACTTAGTACCTGGATGACAAAATAATCTGTACACCAAACCCCTGTGATGTGCAATTTACCTGTATAACAAAGCTGCACATGTATCACTGAACCTAAAATAAAAGTTTAAAAAAACCAAAAATACCCATAAATGTTGAGAGAACAAAAAAAGTTCAGAATGATAACATCAGTATTATACCATTTATGTAAAGTTTTAAAGTGTGCAAAAATACTTTATTATTTTTGAATACATGTATGAATTAAAATGAATTTGAATATATGTTTGAAAATGATAAACATAAAATTTGTTTTACCTCTGTGGAAAGAGGGAAATAATATGTTCTCAGGATCTTTGAATATACCTATGTTTTATTTCATAAAAGACCTGGAACATGTAATGCAGATGTTAAAATTTTATAAAGCTGAGTGGTGGTTAGTCTGTCCATTGTTATCTTATTTTGTCTATGTATCTATAAATCCAAAATATTTTATAAGTTTAAAAAATCTACCAACATAATGTCAAATAATCAGTTTTACTGACATTTTCTTGAATTGGCTGAAATAAACAGGTTTTTTGAAAAAAATTACATGTGAAGCAGTATACTTTAAACATTAAACACATCACTTCAGTAGAAAATTGAGAAGTTATTTGGATGGATAGATTTTTATTTTCTTGCCATGGGGGCAACTTTATGGTATCCTTATGAAATACTGTATTTCACAGTACAGTTTTTCTTGAACTGTACTTTTTCTACAATGAAAACCATTATTTTGTTCCAGTCTTCCAATGTTAACTATTATCACCACCATTCAGAGAACTTCAGAGAGGACGAAACTGCTTAGTTTTACTTTATGAACAAGTTATTGGCTAAAATGACTTTTCCCCACCATGGGGGAGCTGGTGATGAGCTTATGCACTCCCAGCTTGGAGAGACAACTGTCACAAATACATGTTTTTTATTTGTATAAATGTAAGGGATACAAATGCAGTTTTGTTACATGGATATATTGCATAGTGGTAAAGTCTAGGTGTTGGCTGTAACCATCGTGCAAATAGTGTACATTGTACCCATTAAGTAATTTCTCATCCCTTATCCCTGTTTCACCCTTCTGAGGCTTCACTGTCTATTATTTTATTTATTTATTTATTGAGACGGAGTTTCACTCCTGTCCCCCAGACTGGAGTGCAGTGGCCTGATCCTGGCTCACCGCAACCTCTGCATTCTGGGTTCAAGCGGTTCTCCTGCCTCAGCCTCCCGAGTAGCTGGGATTACAGGCGCTCACCACCAAGCCCGGCTAATTTTTGTATTTTTAGTAAAGACGGGGTTTCACCATGTTGGCCAGGCTGGTCTTGAACTCCTGACCTCGTGATCGGCCCACCTCGGCCTTCCAAAGTGCTGGGATTACAGGCGTGAGCCACCGCACCCGGCCATTCACTATTATTTCACACTCTTCCTCCATGTGTACACATTATTTAGCTCCACTTACAAGTGAGCACATGTGGTATTTGACTTTCTGGTTCTGAGTTATTTCACTCCCACATCTAAAAACTCTCCACCAATCTTATTTTATACTCACCTGATTTGATTCACAAAAGAGGCCGTTCCGTTCCTCGGCCTGCAGGTCTCTACCACCTTTTTGGCATTCTGTGGTTCAAGTCGAGATGGTTGGTTGTAGAGATTGCAGAAGACTTACATTTTATACATAGAGGAGTCTGGGTTCCTATGGCAGTATCAATTATGACAACTTTAAGCAAGAAAAGGTGGGAAAAATAGCAGAGGTTACAAAGAGGTTGCTTGAGGGAGACAAAAGGAAAGAAAGAAAGCTGTTAATAAAATATGTCATTTTGACAATGAAGTCAGAATCCTTGCAACAAAAGAATAATGTATTTACTTTTTTCTTTTCTCTTTTTTTTATTTGAAGACAGAGTCTCCCTCTGTTGCCCAGGCTGGAGTGCAGTGGAATGATCTCAGCTCACTGCAGCCTCCGCCTTCCAGGCTCATGCGATTCTCCTTCCTCAGCCTCCTCCCGAGTAGCTGGGATTACAGGCATGCACCACCGTACTGGGCTACTTTTTGTACTTTTATTAGTGACGGGCTTTCACTGTGTTGGCCAGGCTGGTCTCAAACTCCTGGCCTCAAGTGATCCGACTGCCTTGAACATGAGAACACAGGTTGAGCCACAGCATGGTGCAGCTGCTCCAGTTTAGACGGAGCTCAGCGGCAGCTCCTGCTCCCAGGTGGATGCAGCACTGTGGACTTTGGATCGCTCCATCCGATAGTGTTAGCTAGTGTTAGCGGCAGCAAAGATGGCGGTGGTGCTCTGTCGTGAAGGTTGCATGTGTGCGGGCGGAACCAAGGCCTGCTGATGTCCTCCTGCCTCACTTTTTCCCTTTGGAGGGAGGTTGCAGCCAAGGAGATCCCTGTTGGCCCTGAGCTGTGCTGGGCTGGGGAATAGGTTAACACAGGTCCAATGCTTCCAGTGCTTTCTATACGGCCATCCTCAGTTTTCCTGCTTCAATGGGCTGCTGAACCTTGCTATTTGTACCCTGGAGCTCTCCCAGAGTTATTTTTATCTGGGAGTAGTTAAATCATTGTTCTTGTTGGGGAGCAACGGCTGGGACCACGTAATCTGTTTCCTTACTGAAGACTTCCCATTTTCTCCCAATCTCTTCTTATAAGAACACCAGTCATATTGGTGAATTTTAGGGTTTAGAGCCCTCCCTAATAGCCTCATTGTGACTTAATTTCTTCTTTAAAGACCCTATCTTCAAATATAGTCACATTCTGTGTTCCTGGAGGTTAGGCTTTCAATATAAAAAATTGAGGGAGACACAATTCAACCCATTAGAAGGTGCATTTTTACATGTTTTTATGTAAGAACTCTTAGCATCTTAGGGATGCTAAGATGATACATAGCATCATCTTGATATGTAGCATCATCATGATAGCATCATCATGATATGTAGCATCTTAGGGATGCTAACTCTTAGCATCTTAGGGATGCTGATGCTGTAATGTTTGCTTATAGAATAGATATCTTTCTTATGGTGACACTCTGGATTTATTTTTCTGCCTTTAAAGCACTGACACATTTAAGTTTTGTTGTAGTTTTAAGTGTAAAATGATGTTTTATTTCATGTGACTTTTGCCATTTTAAAAACATCATTTATTGAATTAATGTGTTCTCCATCCTCATTTTATGCTAATCTCCCCACATATATTAGTACTAGTTTTATATTCTCAATGATTTGTAATGTTTTTTGGCAACTCAACATTATTTTAGTTTCAGTAAATTTATGCTGATATTTGAAAGGAAGGGTTTTTTTTTTTTTTAAGAGATTGCTAATACCAGTAGGAAGGGATGATGGATATGAAATAGCAACAAGAAGGAATGTCCCATACAAGGGAGTCCCAGGCATGTGAGAGGAGGGAAGCCCATAGCACATAGCATGGACTTCGACAGGAGTAGAGCCCCTCTTTCCACTGAGACAGGGCAAAGGAGCATAGCAACCGAGGCTGCAGAGAGCCTGCAGAGTTAGAATGGGAATGGAGGAATTCTCTGTCTTATGAATTCTGTTTTCTCTAATCAAGTAGGAGGCTGGCTCTTTTACTGAGAAGTGATTGCTTCCTAAGTTGTATGTAAATGAGTTCCTCTAGATATTGCTATGCACCGACTTATACCATATAAACTCTATATTAATATAAGTGAAGATTTTGGTATGCACAATGGGCAATTAGAGTAAATCAATATTCCCTATAGTTTTCCACCTAATTATCACAGGGAGTTCTGTTTGTTCATTCATTCAGCCATTCTCTCTTTCCATCTCTCCATCCATCTACCATCTACCATCTACTACCTATCTCCTATCTATCTATCTATATATCATCTATCTATTATCTATCAATCATCTATGTATCATCATCATCATCATCTGTCAACTATTTATTTATCTGCAACTCTACTCTAGGTAAGGATGATATAATGGAAAAGGTGATGGGTGAGGTGCCTGTTCTCACTTAGTTTATATCCTGGGTTGGGGAGACTTTAACTAGTAAGCAAACAAGTAGGTTCAAAAGATAATTTCATACAATGGGAGGAGTTATGAGAAAAACAAGAGTATAGTATAAATGAGTTATAATCTCTTACACTATTTATTTTGAGACTCAAAAATTTTCCAATATTTTATTAGCAGAACTTGTTCAATCTGGTTCCTGTGTCCAGATGATGGACCTGTTATTCTTCCTTCATCACCTCTTGCTCCAGGCCTGAATCCACAACTGTTTCTCCCAAGAACTTCTTTTTAGTGGAGAAGGGATTTAGTAACTAAATAATGGGTGTTGGGAATGCTCAGTGCTACTGCAGTGTTAACGTTTTTAGGTGTTCTCAGCTAAGAGCTAGGAAATATGCATGCATGAACACACACACACACACACACACACACACACACACACTTCTATATCTACATAAATCTCCATGTGTATTTTTTTTTTTTTTTTGAGACGAAGTCTCGCTCTTGTACCCCAGGCTGGAGTGCAATGGCATGATCTCAGCTCACTGCAACCTCCAACTCCTGGGTTCAAGCGATTCTCCTGCCTCAGCCTCCCAAGTAGCTGGGATTACAGGCGCCTGCCACCATGCCCGGCTAATTTTTGTATTTTTAGTACAGACGGGGTTTCAGCATGTTGGCCAGGCTGGTCTCAAACTTCTGACTCCAGGTGATCCGCCCGCCTCGGCCTCCCAAAATGCTGGGATTACAGGTGTCCACCACCGCACCAAGCCCTCTGTGTGTATTTTAAAATCATGAATATATACTGATATTTCCAATTAAAATTCAATACCATAAGATGTATTGTAGTCTTCCTCTTTCCTTATATGGAATCTCCCTTTCCAATAGTGAAAAACTAGGCCTCCAGTAACCTCAATATATTTACTTATTTTCTCAATCTGTCAGTATATAACTTATCTTTGGCAACCTGTGCCATGTCTTTGGCACTGGTCATGTTGGCTAACACCCTTCAGATGCTCCCTCATGTTCTTTCTGTTCTTGGAAACACACTGGCTGAGCCCCTAGCTATCCCCCAGCCCTAACCCTGGCAGGCATACCAAGTGAGGACCCAGTAAGCTAGAAGCCATGTTTTTAAGAGACAATATGAAGCTAGAAAAGATACAGAATAATTTGTTAAACAAAACACCAAAAGCAGTATTTATAAAGGAAACCATCAGTAAATAGGACTGCGTTAAAATTAAGTACTGTATCAAAAGACAAGAGTAAGAGCAGGGAAAAGCAAGCCCATGATTTGAAAAAAAAGATATTTGTATTACACATAACTGATAAAGGTTTCATAGCCAAGCCACATGAAAAATTTGTATAAATAGATAGGAAAAAAGGTAAGAATCCAATAGAAAAACAGGCTACTTAAAAAGACATTTTTTAAAAGAGGCTATCTAAATAGTCAATGAATTTATGAGAAGATTCCCAACTTATTATTAGTCAGTGAATTGCAAATGAAAACACATAGAAGGATTACTAACATGCCTGAGGCCTGAAATTTAAAACTTGACCATACCACATGATGGAGAAATGGAGCCAAGAACGCCATTCACTATTAGTGGGAGTATAATTGTTATGACATTTTAGAAAACTATTGGGCATTTTTTTTTTCATTAAATGTGAACATGTGCATTTCCTAAGGTCATGATTTTACTTCTGGACAGACATTTAACAGGTATGAGTGCCTGTCTGCACAAAAAAAAACCCTACAATAATGCTCACAGCAGTCTTATTTGTATCAGCCCAAAACAGAAAATGATCCAATATCTGTGCACAGTAAAATGAACAAATAAAGTGGGATGTATTCGTATCATGGATATTATCCACAATGAAATGAGTAAGAGCAGCATTGAACAGAATAATCCAGAAATAAAAATAAACCTGCCATTTGCTTTCACTTATGTAAATTTCAACAGAAAGGAAAACTAATCTATAGTGTTATTGAGCAGATAGGGTTTGAGTAGGATGACGGAGAAAGGTTATGAGGGGACTTTGGGTGTTGTTTTCTTTTTTTTTTAACCTGAATGGTGGTTAGATGGTTGTGCTCACTTTTTGATCTAAGCACATTTCTCTATGCATGATACACTGTAATGAAAATGTTAAAAAATAAATGCCTTCAAACACTTACTAGCTCTATTTCTTTACCCATTTTCTTCTGGAATACCTAAAATAGTGAATGAAAAAAGAATGGAGGAGCAGTTGGCAGATAGGCTTAGGAGAACAGAGGAGGAGTGATATTACAAAGGTAAGAACATACAAAGTATAATATGATAATCAGTCACTCCACAAAATCAGTGTTAATGATCTTCTTAAGAGTCACAAAGGGAGGCCAAGCATGGTGGTGCACACCTGTAAGAACAGCACTTCGGGAGGCTGAGGTGGGTGGATCACCTGAGGTCAGGAGTTCCAGACCAGCCTGGCCAACATAGCGAAAACCCATCTCTACTAAAAATACAAAGTTAGCTGGGCGTGGTGGTGGCACATGCCTGCAATCACAGCTAACTCAGGAGACTGAGGCAGGAGAATTGCTTGAACTTGGGAGGTGGAGGTTGCAGTGAGCTGAGACTGCGCCACTGCACTCCAGCCTGGGCAACAGAGCAAGACTTCGTCTCAAAAAAAAAAAAAAAAGTCACAAAAGGGTTGGGCATGGTGGCTCATGCCTGTAATCCCAGCACTTTGGGAGGCCGAGGCAGGAGGATTGCTTGAGCCCAAGAGTCCGAGACCAACCTGGGCAACATGGCGAGACTCTGTCTCTTAAAAAAAAAAGAGTCACAAAAGAAAATGATGTTCCAGTCTCGTTCCCAGGTACCATGGCTGATGACCTCTTCAAACTGGCTTTAAGACCAGGTTCTTTCCACTGACCACTGTACAGAAGAATCCTCAGCTTAGTCCGTATCTGTCCCCTTTCACATCCTCAAGATTTTCTCAGACTTCACCACACAAGAATTTAGCTGTAATTTATAACTATTACCTATGGAATTCTCACTATGTGTGAACACTGTCAAATATTTTATATACAGTTGTTTGTCACTTCATCATTACAACAATCCTTTAAATTAAGTTATATTGTGCTTCCACTTTATGGATGAAAAAAATGGAAGCTTATGGAGGTTAGTTTGTCAAAATTATAAAGTTATTAAGATGCAAAATGTGGGTTGAAGCCCAAGTTTGTTTGTTTCCAAAGCCTTTACACCAAAACAAACACAAATTATTGGACAATTTAGCTAAAGTGCTTCAGCATCTCCATCGGTCTCTGGTGATGTGGTGTCCTGTGGTTCCTGTTAGCTTACAATCACCCTCCTTCCCAACTAAGCAGGTTCTCCAGGAACAGGTATGAGGTGATGCAGGTGAGTTGCTTCAAAACCTTCCTTTCTTCAGGAACATCTCAAGATAAGAATATAGGTAGAAGAATTCATACCTCAGTCTATTAAATGATATCATTAACATGCCCATTGAGACTTCTACAGGGATTTTTGATTTTACAGTTGGCAAAAAAATACACCTAATTCCTCATACAAAACCGCACAGAAATCCCACATGGAGAATAAAATTGTGCAACACAACCTGTCTAATGGATCCATCTTAAACATTTCTTCATGTCATAGTACCACAAGAATATTACTGAAACATTACAGTCTACCTAAAGAGAACTTTTGAGTGTGAAGAGATGTGGGCCTATGCCAGTGGTTCTCAAACTTGCTGTGCCTCGGCGCCACGTAGAGGGTCCATGAAAACACAAATTGCTGGACCCCATCCCAGAGTGTCTGATTCAGCTGCTTTCGAGTAGGGTCCCAGAACGTGAAACTCTAAGAAATTTTCAGGCAATGCTCATGGGGCTGGTCCTCGGACCACACTTTGAGACTTGCTGGCCTGGAGATTATAGGTAACTTGCCCATGTTTTGTGGCTGCTGAGAGAGTTAGGGCCCAACCTCAGGGCCAGGTGTCAGCTAGCTCTCTGACTGCCTTTTCATCTGCCTCATTATTGCTGTTAATTACTGTTCAAGGACCAAACTATTTCTAGGACTTCCCATAAGTTCTAAACATGTATATGGGATTTTGATCCTAAGGATTTTGTGTTACATAATGGGAATTTTAAATATTTCATTTTCAAGCTCTCCCACAGATACCCAAACTCAAGAAAACGGGCACAGATGCAAATGCATGTATTCAAATACCGAGCTGCAGACCTCACACGAATTAGGAAAAGTCACTAACGATTACAATACTGCACTCATCCCTTAGTATCTACGGGGGATTGGTCCCAGGACTCCCTGAGATACCAAAGTCCGCGAATGCTCAAGTCCCTTGTATAAAATGGTGTCATCTTGTATATAAACTATGCACATACTCACACAAAATTTAAATTATCTCTACATTACTTATAATACTTGATATAATGCCTCTCCACCACTTCATTTGTGTGGATTCAATGTAGCACTCGGTGCATAGCAAATTCAAGTTTTGCTTTTGGAACTTGGTGGAATTTTTTTCCTGAATATTTTCCATTCAAGGTTGATTGAATCCACAGATGTGGAACCCATGGATAGGAGGGCTGACTTTATATTAAAATTGTTGATACCAAATTTGAGTTATTTTCTGTGAATCTCAACCTGTTTATAAGCAGACACAAAGAAACACACATACAAAGAGTTGTAGATACTTCCAGAAAAAAAGCTATGCAAACACATCCACAAAAATTCACGGTTAAAACACAAAAGCTAGAGAGATGAAGAAGTTTAGCAATATTTGTTATCTGAGTAAAAATACGGCTTCATTATCTTCATGCTTTAGTAAATTAAGCCAACTGGTCACGGTTCATTAATAAGAGACCTCCAATTATTTCCTTTTCCATTTATTTTTAATTTGTATTCATTAATGAAACACTGTTAAAGGAAATTTTAAAAGAAAATATATTCTCATTAATCTTGTCCGAACACTAACTATACTTTAGGTATGTATCTACAAGTTCAAATGATAATAAATTCATAGCTTATTATAATTGAAAACAAGCATGTATTACAAAAAAATCCTACTGTGAATAGTAGTTTCTTTACTTGGGAATAAATTTCACATGTATTTTTAAAAAAATCATAAAAATAAGAGGGAATATAAACACCACCACTTTTAGGGTGCTAAATTGTGTATTAAAAAGCTTCACATAAGTCTTGAAGAAAAGATAATTCATATCCCTTTTCTGCCATAGATTGCACTGTGAACCTAATGGACTTCATTCACTCCTCCAGGAAAGGGAAATACTGAATCAAGAAACAAATTGTAAACATCAATACTATAGAAGGTGTTGTGTTAAACTCCAAATGCAAAAATTCTCTTTCATTTTAGCTAGAAATATCTATTTTCAAAGTTCTAGAAATGACAGAATCCCATGCAGTAAAAAGACAATTTTATTATTTAAAAAAAAAAAAAACTTAAAATGTTAACTTGGAGCCTGAAAAACCATAGTTTGAATCTCTTTACTAATTATCCTCCACCTCAATAGTATCAGTTCCATTTTATTTAATGTAATGGGAAGGGTAAGAGATAAGATGATTGGTGAGAGGTGGTTCCAGTTTGGGCAGCCAGTGGCTACTAGTTATTTGACCTTGAGTAAGTCAGTCACCACAGTGTAGTTGGAAATTAATTTTTCCTTATGTAAAATTAGAAAATAAGGTGTTTTTTTCAAACTGTATGCAAGTTTTTTTAATCAATAAATGTTAACAGCTGATATTCAAGAAAATTGGAGATATTCTATTTTCTGCTACTTCTTAAGAAATTCCTATTTTGACTTAATACACCAATGCCAGTTTAAAAATGCTAAATAAAATCTTCCACACACATGATTTTTGGCAGCTGTATGGAAGGCTGATGTTGCCATCTAGTGTTTCTGTTTGAGAGGTCTCCTGTAGGAGGTGAGATGGGAGAGCCTTGGCTACTGGGAAGACACATGCACAGTGAATGTGGGGAGAGGTAGGGCAGAGTAACCCACACAGGACTCTCCTGGATGAACACCAGCCTCCTGATGTAGCCCCATCCCTGCAGGAGGTAAAAATATTGAGTGGAATGGAGGGAAGAACTGAAGTTTCCTGTGGCCTCTTAATGTGGCAATAACAGACCCAAGAGTTTCCTATATCAGTGTCCCCCTTACCTCATTATTTCTTATATTGGAGGATGTACATTCTTTGGGGATGCTTGCCTCCCCACATTTTAATGATTTTAATTTTGTGAGTCCAGGACCAAATGAAGAAATTGATCTACTTCTGTTTTGACATAGAACCCAGAAATTAATTCTCTTTTCAAGAATACCTGAGCCCCACATTTGGGAACTTTCTGTGTTGCCTCCCCGGTGAGTTTTGTGTTTGTGTGTGTTGTGGGGGGCGGGGGGCGGGGGGGGGGCGGTGGCCGGGCCAATCTCTAGATGACACGAGTCCCTGAGGTCTTAGCTCTGTGAACAAGCTGATGTCACTTTTCCTCATGCCCCTAGATGACTCCAAATCCCCAAGGTGAGATGGCATTGAAGTTGTCCTCCTATCCACTTAGTATGAACCAATCAAATGACATTGTCTATATTCTCAAAGCTCTTAGAACTAAGTGTGCTTTCCTTTATCCCTGGGGCTGGTCTGCCATCTCCTTGACCCTAGACTACCTGTATATATGGACGTGAGATAAAACATGTTGACTTGAAATGTGGCACTATGCCACACCACTCACTTAGCTTGTCATTCCTGCCCACAGTTCATCATTTCTCTTCCAAGCTCTGCTACTTAAAGGCTTATTAACACTTAAATGGGACAGACATTATTTTTGTGCTCAATCTCCTTTCAGGGTTTTCAGTGTAATTTCCTCTGGAAGATCCAGAAACTAAAAGGGACAAGAATTAGCTGCCTTATCCATGAGAAAACTCCTGGTTGGTCTCCGGAATTGAAGTAAGGAGGGTTGACAGAATCATAGGTCTTCTACTTTCTGGGAAGAACAAGGGTGAGATTTTAATACAAGCTTTGTCGTGGCAATGAGATTTATATCTGTATCTTCAGTCGTCTGTATGCAGATATAGAGTTATCTTGTAATAGTTTTGATTAGAGTTTATATCTGTTAGAACACCAGAGTAACGGGTTTCTCAATGCCAACTCGCAATTTGGAACTCCATTTTGGAAAAGAGACATTGTATCCAACTCGGAAACAATCAAATGCACCAAATTCTAGCAAAGTGTATCTAAAGTAGATTAGGAGTGATTATGTGATTATCCATTATCCATTTGTCCATTGCTAGCTGAGCCAATCCTAGGGCCTCTTCTGAGCCTACATGCACACACAATAAACCAATCTTTTTAGTCTCTTGATAAAATGATAGCTGATTTGAACAGAGAACCGTGTAATTCTGTTTTCGCACAAATCAAGCATTGCAAATCTCTGGCGATTTTGAGAGTGATCACAAGCTTCTCTCTGGAAACTGCTCATGATGATGGATTTTATTGTTAGGATTGTAATGTGTAGGTTAATGGGAGTGCTGTAATGAGTGATCAACTTTAAACAACTACAGCTTTAAGTGGGTGAGAAATAGGAACAGGGAGGAAGGCAGAATGAATGGAAACTTGGGTTAATGCATAGGGCTGGCACTATAAACCTTGCTCTGATATGAAGCTGTAGTGCAAGCATTGGCTATTCTTTCTTCTTCTCTATTATTGAGGTTGATCATCTCTAACATGGAGATTCTAATGCCTGGCCTGTCCACTTTGCAGGGCTGCTGTGATGATGGTCTGAAACTAGAGTGTGAAAGCTCTGTAAAAGTCTAATGTACGCTAATGTGAAAGGGTTGTGATTGTTTATGTTGTGCTCTATACCTAAGCCAGGCAAAAATAGCTCTATTGCTTGGCATTGTTAAATCCTTTTCAGTAAGCACAGAGAACCATTTGGTGGATTCTCCTCTATATGGGTTGGTACAGTTTTGGGCATAACCTTCAGCCAGAGAATCAACCCAATTCAGACCTTGGCGTCTAAGTTTTCAAAATTAGTAAGCATTTATAGTATTATGTGTCAACTAAACTATTAAAGGTATTTGGGCATTTCTAAGAGCTGTATTCCTTGCAATTTCATGGTTCTGAACTAAAGAGCTAAGAAATGTGAGAAGACAGGATGCATTAATTTATAGTTGAATACCTGTTAGGTGAAACAGAGAAGAGCCTCTGCATATTTGTCATAAGGGTGAGCAGTGGGACATTTTGGATTGAAAGAATAAAGCATTGTGAAAAAAAGTAGTTTTGAACAGATGACTACAAGGTAAATTTGCAGTTTTGGTTAAGGAGTCAGACCCTAAGTGATAAACTTTGCTGAGATCACCCAAAGTGATCACAACTTTATCACCCAAAGTGATAAAGTTGCTGAGCAATTTGTGTAGCTTGTCATTGCCACTCTTGAGGTCTCCTGAACCTGGGAGAAAACTTATGATAGGTCTGAGGATACAGAAGTACAAGTTGTTCATAATAACCAACACCTGTAAAATGTGTGTCTGTGAAAGTCTCCTTTGTGAGTACTCAGGAAGCCTCTGAAAGTCTTCCATTCTTTGACACTTGGCTGGCTACTTCTGATAGACCCTGCCTCTTTTACCCTTTCATAGGGCTTTGCAGAGGGTCCGGTGCCTGGACCAATGGATGGGAACTACAGAATTCCCAATTGCAGCTCCAACAGGATACAGCTCATAGCATGTCAGTTGTCAGGATGGACAGGTGGTGACAGCGGCTGCATAGACACATGTCCTTCAATGTGTTTCTGTGCCCTCATTCCCACAGCTTCCTTCTTGTGTGTTGCCCAGATGCCGTTTGCTATTATCATAGCAGATACAAGCCTGGGTGGATATTGGCTGTATAAGGCAGAGTCCCCATCAAAGCCCTTGGCTTAGACTGTGGAAATCCTCAATAGCTGAAAGTGCTCAGGGTATATACTCAGTGTCACCAGTTACATAGACATGTGAGGTCTGAGTG
This sequence comes from Homo sapiens, assembly GCF_000001405.40. Taxonomy (NCBI): domain Eukaryota; kingdom Metazoa; phylum Chordata; class Mammalia; order Primates; family Hominidae; genus Homo; species Homo sapiens. The sequence goes on from NC_000001.11 coordinate 247,490,392, forward strand.
GGGACTTAGAGAAGATCTAGCCTCTTTCCCATGTTGCACAAGGAAAAGCCAAGTTAGAGAGAGATGAACTGAATAGCAGGCCATACATTTGCAGACCTGTGTTTTACAGAGGCAGAATTAAACCTATCATCACAGTCCTTTCTTGTAGGGTCAAAAATCACTGTGTTTCATCTTAATAAAATTACATGCCATTAAGGAGTTGCCTGGTACGTACATTCATGGCTTCCTTAAGCATCACCCATAAATGTGGTCCTTCATGACTTTGTATATACTACCTCCTCTTTGTGAAACATATTTAGCTCAATCTGCCACATGTCAAATTCTTACTTATTATTTGCAACAACCAAAAACAACTCTCAGACTCAGCAGTCTCCCTTAATACAAACTGTTCTACACAGGCCCTCCTGATCACTTGGGAGTGATCTGCATAATACTCAGCCTTTTAACGCATCTTCTTTTAGAGAACTTTCTCTTTCTCCCTTCTTTGTCATTATTCATACACATTATTCACCAAGGAGGGAAGCTCCAGAGTCAATTCATCCCGTCTTCCTGGGGCATCAGGCACACGACTTTGCATGTAACAGGTTTCAATAAGTCTATTCTAAAAAAGCAAAGAAAGGGCAAATGGCTCTCTTAACTTCACAGACCTGTAAATGGAAATTGGAGAGTGCCAGATCATCTGCATGTGCCCCCTTATCTAATTCTTTGGTTGTTTCTCTGTAATAGCTGGTGGATTATGGGAAAGGACAATGCCAGTTACCTACAGGCATTCATCCTGGTGGGCTCTTCTGATCGGCCTGGACTGGAGAAAATTCTCTTTGCTGTTATCTTGATCTTCTGCATCCTGACCCTGGTGGGCAACACTGCCATCATCCTCTTGCTGGTCATGGATGTCAGGCTCCACACACCCATGTACTTCTTTCTTGGGAATCTGTCTTTCTTAGATCTCTGCTTTACAGCAAGCATTGCCCCTCAGCTGCTGTGGAACCTGGGGGGTCCAGAGAAGACCATCACCTACCACGGCTGTGTGGCCCAACTCTACATCTACATGATGCTGGGCTCCACCGAGTGCGTCCTCCTGGTTGTCATGTCCCATGACCGCTATGTGGCCGTCTGCCGGTCCCTGCACTACATGGCAGTCATGCGCCCACATCTCTGCCTGCAGCTGGTGACTGTGGCCTGGTGCTGTGGCTTCCTAAACTCCTTCATCATGTGTCCTCAGACGATGCAGCTCTCCCGGTGTGGACGTCGCAGGGTGGACCACTTCCTGTGTGAGATGCCTGCTCTTATTGCCATGTCTTGTGAGGAAACCATGCTGGTAGAAGCGATTCACCTTTGCCCTGGGGGTGGCTCTCCTCCTGGTGCCGCTCTCCCTCATCCTCATCTCCTATGGCGTGATTGCAGCCGCGGTGCTGAGGATGAAGTCAGCAGCAGGGCGAAAGAAAGCCTTCCACACCTGCTCTTCTCACCTCACAGTGGTCTCTCTCTTCTACGGAACCATCATCTACGTGTACCTGAAGCCGGCCAACAGCTACTCCCAAGATCAGGGGAAGTTCCTGACTCTCTTCTACACCATCGTCATTCCCAGCATCAACCCCCTCATCTACACTTTGAGGAACAAGGATGTGAAGGGGACCATGAAGAAACTTCTGGGGTGGGAGAAAGGGGCTGGGGAGCCTCAACGAGGGGAACACTCTAGTAATGTAGACAGTTTGCTGGAGTTACTCTCTTAGATGTGTCTGTGGCCATGTGGAGAACTAATATTCAAGGAGTAGAGTGAACGCGGGTGGGAAAATGCTTTCGAGTTTGACCCCGTCCTCTGCCCTCTGGATGTGAAGTGGTTTCCTTCTGTTTGAAGTTGCCTGCTTCAGGATATCTCTGCTGTATCTTGCACTTTCCTTGTCTTTTTGATTTATCCACAACTGCTGGGGACTTACAAAACTAATTCAATCACCCAAAGGCACTGGGCAGTCTGCAGATTATGTCATGGATGTCAAATAAAAATTGAGACAACATGAGTGGCCTTTTCTTCAAGCCCTTTTATTTGCTTCTGTGGCAGTTTTTCAAAGAGAGAGGGGTCAACATCAGTAAAGTTATAGTGCCCTGTCCTGGATACAGGTTGGTTCTGTATGAGTGGGGAATGTCCTTTGAGTTGCTTTTTGAAAAAGCAGAATTTGCTCAGAGTTATTTGCATCTTCTCCTTGACCTTTTCGCATAGCCAAAGTACCTACAAAAGAGCTGACTCTAGTCAGGAATGCAAGCCTTTGGGAAGAACAGAGCAAATGATACACATCCAGATAGAATGAATTTGTTCTCCTTAGCAGATTAAACAGCTGTAAATATTCTACTTCAAAGAGAGCTGTCCTATACTCAAATTAATTACCACCCCCAACCTCCACAAATAACTCTGATGACCAATCTTATAAAATCAGTGCATATTGGAATTGGACATTACTAAAAGCAGTGTTTCCAAAACTTGATCGTGCATCAGAACGCTTAAGGCACAAATTTCCAAGAACTCTCCAAATTTCCTGAATCTACAATGCCAGGTGTGGGTCTAGGCATCTCTGTCTTTAAAAAGCTCCCTAGGTGTTACTGATGATAGATTTTGAAATCATTGTTTTAGAGATAATAAAAATCCAGCTCCTCACATTACCCAGGACTCTTCCTGTAGCATTCTGAATCCCTGGCTGCCTTCACTGGGTATGAATGATCCTGTGCACCAGGCATGGGGAAGACAGTATCATCCATATCTGGACTTGGAACTGATTTATCTTCTCACCAGTTAGCTTTCGAAGCCTAGCCTTTTTCATCTGTATTATGGAGGTCATACTCTTCACCTTAGAGGGTTGTAGTAGAGATTAAGCAAGACAAAGTATGTTAAATATGAGGTGGGTGGTCTCTCAGTAATACTTTTTTTTTCATGTACCACAGGCATTGGGCAATCTATTCTTTTGTAGGTCTTATGCAATTGTTATTTAGATCTTGTTTTTAGTAAAATTCTGCTTCAGTATTTTTCCATTTATTATCTGCAAGATGCAAAATGTTCTCTTCCAGGTGTAGAAAACACCCTTTCCTTGCTTCTTTCAGATTAGGTAGATAGGATCCCTCACAAACTCTCAGAGAACTTTGCTGCCTACTTTTGCACCCTAATAGAAATGTGGGTTGGGGGGTGAGGTGGTGATTCAGGGTAAGTGTGCGGATTTCACATTATTTGTAGATAATACCAGTTCAGGCTTTTTGAATTATGGGGCAGAGCGTGTCCATAGACTATCACAGAGGCTAAATCTATGAGATAACAAAAATACCCAGACAGAAATGGAAAAAAATTTCAAAGTTGTTTAACCAGGTGTTTTGGAACTATTGCATAAAATATTTCAAAACCCATTGCTCCAGTCGTCTTCCTGTATAATAAAGATGATCATAGGACATGTGAAAAATAGATATTCTTTACCCTATTTGCAAATAATGTGACTAAAACACAGGGAGGCTAAGGGAGTTGCTTAAATTACAAGGCAAGTGAATACCTAAGATGGCATTCATTATTTGTCAAACATTTCCCAGGGAGTTTTTCATTCCATTAACTGCTTACACATTTAGGTCCTATGTGGTTAAATTTGGACTTTAGGACTGTTTAGTATCCAAATGCTATTTTTTATTGATAAAAAATTTAAGTTTTTCTTTTAAAATCTTTTCTTTTAAAGTTTTTCTTTTAAAATCATCCAAGGGCATTATCCTAGAGATAAAAGATTAAAAAAATTTGTCTGTTAATCCAAATACCAGTCCTTTTCTTTACTCCAATTCTCCTGGTTGAGTTTTTGTGGCATAAAAACTGCCAGGAAAGCACCCCCATACATCTAATGAGTATATTTTCAGCTGATGTGCAGGAGGGTACTGGCCACAGCTGTGAACATCATTTCCCACGTGTTTTTTTCTTTATATTAATGCTATTTCTGTGATAAATTTTTCAACGGATCAAGTTAAGGAGTATTCATTAAATGCATATAATACCCTGGAAATTGTAAGGAAATCAAAGAAATTGACATGGCTATAGGGGCCTGTCCACTCACAGTTCCTAGGGTACACTACCACTCGGACCCCTGTCATTTGTCCTAGCACTGACACTGCAACAGTGGACGTTTTCATCCAATAACACCTTTATCTTGGATACAGTTAGTGATGAGTTGGAGTTTCAGGGTATGGGGAGAGGAATCAATCAACCCATCTACAAATTGACCATTGACTTGTGTGCTTTAGTTTTGTCAACTTTAAAATAATAAGATTCAGAAAATATGATTAAATGTGGAGTTTATTTGAGGGCAAAGCTTGAGAATTAGCCACCTGAATAACACAGACTCCCAAGAAATGGAGTCAGTACTCCAAAGTGGAAAAGTTAAAGTTTACTGATTTAGGCAGAAGCAGAGAAATTTAGCAGAGTTACAGTAGTTCTCATATAAGGTCAGTAAATACATTATAGTGATTTGATTAGGTACAGCTGGCTACGTGCCAAGGAAAATTGTTTAACATGAACACTCCACAAGAAGGGGTAATGGTCTCAAGGAATCTTATCTCTGGTACGATTTAGTCTTTCCTAATCATTTACAGGAAAAAGCAGAAGTTGCAGCTGTATGCTACATGACTCAGGCCACATAGTCACACTCCTCTTAAGGCTCAAAATAATTTAAATTTCCAACAGCTGAAATTTGAATTACTTATTTCACAGTTTGATAAACTTGGTTAATCTGATTTCTCTGTAGGGACTTAAGAAACTGACTCAAAGGTCCTCCCCCCAAATTCTCATCAATTGGAAAGAAAATAGAATAAAATACTACTATAATAAAATTGGACAAAGTAATGATATAACAAACAGTAAGGTAGAGATGGAATAGTAAGAAAATATTTGACCAGAGAATTGAACTAGAACATAAAATTGTGAAATTCTGATGCTCTTTAAAAAGTATTTGGGAAGTACAGAAAGACAATAATGGTACCTGAAAAAAAGAATTTCTGTCTGAAAAAAAGTTTGTGTATGGAAGGCAGGTAGAGTAAGATTGATTGTAAATGATGTTAAATCTGGCTGGGTGCGGTGGCTCATGCCTGTAATCCCAGCACTTTGGGAGGCTGATCACTTGAGGTCAGAAGTTTGAGACCAGGCTGACCAACATGGTGAAACCCCATTTCTATTAAAAATACAAAAATCAGCCGGTCATGGTGGTGGGCACCTGTAATCCCAGCTACTTGGGAGGCTGAGGCAGGGAGAATCCCCTGAACTGGGTAGGCAAAGGGTGGATTCCTTCCTTCCTTCCTTTCCTTCCTTCCTTTTTTTCTTCTTCTGTCAGCAAGTATACTATGCTAGGACAATGGAGATACATATATGAAAGACTTAAAGAAAAAATGCAACCTGATGCTGAAAATGTGCCGTGGAATGAATGAGGTGGTACTTGATCATTGAAGTTTGGGTGTTTCTATAGGAGATGAAGTCTGTTTTGAGTCTTAAAGAGTGAATAAGTTAGAAAGGAAAAGAATGGGAAGGAAATGCTATACGTAAAAAATAAAAAGACTGTGCTGGTCAAAGAGAAGACGAAAGGTATTTTGAGTTTGGTAGTTTGACATGTTTGTTTGTAGGGTTCTTATGGGGAATTGCCATGGTTAAATAATGGAGGCATAGGCAAGAACAAGGTTGTTGGGCACACTCTTCTAACAAAATACCAAGTTGAGGAACTTGGATTTCATTTTTCCTAACATGGAGAGAAAATGAATGCATTTAGGAAAGAGAGTGGCATAAGTAGGGTGTATTTTAGGGAGATCATTTGCTGCAATGTAAAATATATCTCAAGAAAGGGAAGAAGAAAAGCATTTTAATTAACTCAAGAGAGAAGTTGTAACAATTTAATTAAGAAAACTAGAGTGTGAGTGAAGAATAGGAATTGGATTTTGGAGATGTTAGGGAATAGAATTTTCAGGATTTAGGATTTGACTGGAAGTGAGAAATGAGTAAGAGAGAATAAACACGACTTAATCTCTGGTATGTGATTAGCTTTTCTGGATGTAGAAAGAGCAGGTTGGGGGGTGGCTGCAGACTTTAATTTCACATGAGTTGATAATTAACACAGTTTTCTCCCAAATTAGAAGGAAGCATCTCAAGAATCAGTATTTTAAGACTAAGGGACCAAATCCTGTGAAAATAATGATCACAGATTCATCATGTCCTCTGAGCCATCCTGGCACAGAAGGACGTATTAAGCTTTTGCTAACACACTCCAAGCTCTGGAACTGAGCCATTAAAAACTGTGCTGTTCTTATGTCTGTGTTGGGCCTCTGAGGTGAAGGTTTCTTGGGGATTGTCTCTGTCGTCCCTAATGGAATGAGCTCTGAGGCCTGGGTGGATGATGACAACCCCAGTCAGGGATGTGTCTAACAAGTCAATGTGTCTGGAATCTCATTGCCCTGGGCAAAGGCAGAGATAGTTTGATCCGTTGGGTCTTTCCTGATCTGCCTGACTTAATTCTGTCTCTGAGCAGTACATCTATAATGGATCAAACCATATAATTCCTTAAAAGTCCAACAGCTGGTGAATTAAGTCAGTAAATGGTCCAGTTTAAATTGACTTTATTTTTATTACCCAGGTTATTTGACTGAGCTGATCCACTCTTTTACTTTTGTCATTGTAGATATAATTACACTAACAATCAAAGCACTGTTTCTTCCGTCCCACCCAGTGAGAACATACGGTGTTTACCTTTCTGTGCCCGACGTATTTCACTTAATGCCCTCTGATTTTATCTGTGTTGCCGCAAATGACAGGATTTCAAATCTATATCAGTGAGGAATTTTGTTTGTAGTTTCGCTTTTGTTCTATGTATTACTATTATTATTTTTTCACACGGAGTTCCACTCTTGTTGCCCAGGCTGGAGTGCAATGGCGCGATCTCGGCTCATGCAACCTTTGCCTTTCGAGTTCAAGTGATTCCCCAGTCTCAGCCTCCCAAGTAGCTGGTAGGTGACTGAGAAATGCTTCAAAATTAGCCAAAACTTAAAATTAAGTTAAAGTTTACCTTCAAGATTCAACCTGAATGAGTCACTCTGTATTGCTGGTAATAAAAAATAAGTTTTTAATGGTATAAAAGCAAACCCCAGAGAATGTTTTTTCCCCAGTTGACATCTAAATTAAAAACTGTAAAACATTTGTATGGCCTTATGCACTTTTTACTTTAGAATTCCAACTTTTTCTAGTTAAAATTCTTCTAAACAGATTCCTGTGCATTTGAAAGACAAATGATTTTTTAATTGAAATGCTTAAGCAGTTTTTAAGAAGTTAAAGCTGTTGTGCTTATTCTTTAAATAGTTTATTTAATATAACTACATTTTAAGAGTTTGATTTAATGTTAAGTTCTTCTCAACTTTGTTTAAGAAGCAGAAAGCATTACATGAGATTCTTGACAGATGCTTTCAAGGAATCTCTTTAAAAAATGTTAAAGGTAGAACTATTTAACATAAAATTGAATTTTTAAGTGTTTGCATAATTTGAAAAATTATGTCTCGCAGCTTTTTAAATGCCCAACTATGATACATATTTTCCCTTAGTAATATGAGGATAATAATTGTAGTTACCATGGGCTAACTATATGCTGCACGACATGCTAAATTCTTTATGTATATTTATCTTCTAATCTTTAGAATTGTCTAAAAAGTTTGGCAGTTTTATTGTCTTTATTTTTATAACCATTATTCTTGATACATTATACAGTCATTTTTTCTGTTCTTGATTTTTAATGTATGTTTATGTTTGTTCATGTGCTTTTATTTCTAATAATGTAATAAACATTTAAAATTAGAAAACTGAGATTTAAAAGTGGACTAAATTGTCCATGGGACACCGAGCTGTAAGACGCAGAGCCAGGATTAAAACTGGCATCTGATTCTAAAACCTGTGATGCTAACTACTGTCATTGCAGAAAAACTTCTTTGTTCTACATGAATTATCTGTTGATTTCTCCTCTCAGTCTTATTTTTTTCTTATACTCATTACTATTTGACATGTGTGTGTAGATTTTTTTTATAGAGATGAGGTCTTGCTTTGATAATCATACATGTATATTTTTAATTTACTATCTGTCTCTCTTGCTTTTTTGTTCACTGTTCTAAAACAATTGCAGGCATTTGTATGTGGTTTGTAGGTATTGGTTGATACTTAAATGAATGAATGTAATTAGTGTATTCTGTACACCATCAGTGCATATATTATTAAAGATGTGATAGATTTCGTGTTTTCCTCTCTTTATATTGTTCCTATATTGCAGCAGTCCCCAGTCTTTTTGGCACCAGGTACTGGTTTCGTGGAAGACAACTTTTCCATGGACTGGGCAGGGGGACGGCTTCAGGATGATTCAAGTACATTACATTTACTGCATACTTTGTTATTATTGCACTGTAATATATAATGAAATATAAAACTCACCATAATGTAGAATCAGTGGGAGCCCTGAGCTTGTTTTCCTGCAACTAGACAGTCCCACCAGAGGGTGATGGGAGACAGTGACACCTGAAATGTGGTGCTTATGTCCAGTCTACTCCATAATCTTGGTTGCTGTCACTGCAAAAAACCATGCTTCACAAAGACAGGATGTTGGAAATGGAAGCAGGTGTTTCAGTGATACTATTGACAAGGAAGTGTCAGTGCTCCTGTGGAGAACAGGAATGGTTTTGCTGTCCTTAAAGTTTACATAACATTTACTATTATTGGTCCTTCTCTGTGTTCTTATTTTTTTTCTGATATCTCTCCTCTCTTCTTCCTCCTCTTAAATGGTACATCTAATCCTGTTCTTTTATTCTAATTTTTTTTAATGCTTTTCAATGCTTGCAGGTCTTTACTAAATACCGCTATAATCATTTAACTCTAATTCTATTTCAATAGCTAAGCTGCCCATCTGGTATTTCCATTTTATTATACTTATCACAAACTTGATAAATCTGAAATTCGGTGCAATAGATAATTTTCTTGTGGTAGTTTAAAAATATGTTCAATAATTATTTGAAACTCTTCAAAAAGTATGAGGGATCTTCAAAAAGTTCATGGGAAATGCATATTATGAAGAAACTATGCATAGATTTCAGAAATATTTTGCACCTAAATAAACTTGTACTAACTTGTTATAACATGTCGGAACAGGATCTAATTTGAGGAATTATAATAAGAAAACTAAGACACCAGTTTGAAAAGAGGTCCTATTAAAGCAACATGAATTCTGCTAAAATTAACACAAGAACAAACATCAAATTTGTGGCAATTTTGGGTGATAGAATAGTAAAATCACTGGTTCTTTATGACAAGTTTATGAGGACAATGCCCTCCAACATTTGCAAGTTTACAAATAAATAACTCATTTGAAGAAGGGATGATAAGATTGAAGATAAAGCCTGCAGTGGCAGACAATTCACAGTTCACCAGAAAAAAAAATAATCTTGTTCATGTCCTGCTTTAGGAATAATAATAGCATAAACAACAGCCAACACCACAGCCATCTCAATTGGTTAAATTTACACAATTTTGAAAAATTTTCCACTCAATAGTTTCAAAAACTCTTGTTCCCAGATGAACTGCAGACAACAGCAGAGCTTTCAACTGCTATTTTACGTAAGTGGAATCAAGATCCTGAAGCATTTCTTCAAATAATTGTAAGAGGAGGTCAAACACAGCTGTTCCAGTGAAATCCTCAAGACTTTCTAGAGGGCCCAAAACAAAAAAACCCCAATAACACATGCTATTATGAGAGTATTTTGAGAAAGTTAGCCAAAGTTTTAGAAGAAGAACTTCCAGGAAATTTCACCAGAGAATTCTTCTCCACCATAACAATATTCTTCCTCATTCCTCTCATCAAAAAAAGACAATTTTGCTAGGGTTTCAATAGAAAATTATTAGGCATTCACCTTTTAGCTCTGATTTTGCTCCCGCTAACTTCTTTTCTGATTTTAAAAAAACTTGAAAGGACACCCATTTTTCTTCAGTTAGTAATGTAAAAAAGACTGTCTTGACATGGTTAAATTCCCAGGACCTTAGTTTTTTTGTAGGGATGGACTAAAGGCCAGTATTATTGCTTATAAAGGTGTCTTGAACTTGATGAAGCTTATGTTGAGAAATAAAGTTTCTATATTTTATTTTTGTGTTTTACTTTCATTTTTTCACAAACTTATTGAAGTCCTTTCATAGACCCTAATTCTCTTCTTCTTGAAGGTATGTGCAGCTTAATCATCCTTTCTTGTGAATAGAATGTGACAGAAGTGACCATGTGTGACTTCTGAGTCTAGGTCATCAAAGATTTTGCCACTTATGGGCTTTCCTTTTTCCTAAGCCACTCACGCTGGAGAAACCAACAACTATTTGGTGAGAATAGTCAAGCAGCGCTACAAAAACATCCATGTGGAGAGAACCTGAGGCCTTCAATTACAAACCCCACCAACTTGCGGGCCGTGAATGTGAGCAAACTTGAAAGTGGTCAAGCCTTTGGATGACAGCCCCAGTTGAAATCTGACTGTAACCACATGAGCTATCCTGAGGCACAACCACCATGATAAATTGTTCTTGAATTCCTCGTTTACAGAAACTCAATTAGGTAATACATACTGTGAGTTTACGCCACAAAGTTTTGGGGTTATATGTTATGAAACAATAGATAGCAATTTCACTCTTTCAACATCCATTTTACTTTTTACACAATCATGCATTTTTAATAATGGGGATGTATCTTGAGAAACGCACCACTGTGTAATATCATTGTTGTGTGAACATCATAGGATGTACTTACACAAACCTAGGTGGTAGAGCCTATCACACACCTAGACTATATGGTATAGCCTATTGCTCCTAAACTACAAACCTGTGCAGCATGTTACTGTGCTGAATACTGCAGGCAACTGTAACACAATGGTCAGCATTTGTGTATATAAACATAGAAAAGGTACAGTAAAAATATGGTATAAAAGATTAAAAAATGGTACACTTGAGTAGGGCACTTACCTCAGGTGGTCTGCTAATTTTCATGGTCACATGAAGATTCCAGTGAGATATATTTTACCATAGGTGACAGCCTTGACTATGTGCACTACCCATGAAGGTCCCCTTTGCCTTGCTCTTCCTGACTTGTCAAGTGCATGATGATGTGGTAAACCAGCACAAGAACTGAACTCTCTTCTCTTTCTATTAAGTTCTGCAGCTATTTATTCTGAGTTTGGTATCTAGATTTTGTAGACCCCATTTCTTTGACATTCTTGGTAGAATCAGGCCATCTTCATCCCATTGTGCTATCCTTGTGTTACTGTTATGTTTTATAATGTGTGAAGTTATTTTATAGAAGAATAATCTGAGGGTAGACCATAGGCATAGACCCTTTGAGCCTATTGTTTGAGCCAGCCTCACAGATTGGACAATTAGTGGTTTTTCCTGGATTAGCATCAATTTGGATAGACACTGCTGTCAGTTACTATGAAACTGGTTACATTTTCTTTTCTTTTTTTTTTTTTGTCTTAAGAAAACATCTTTAATCCATAGAGCATGTTTTCTCTGGTTTTATACCCACCAGGGTCATAGGCTTTTTTCTGCTTTAAGATATGGCCAACCATTGCATTAGGGCTGAGATATTAGGTGCACAGGATTACACACAAACTGTACTCTAAATACTCTTCATTTTAGGATAAAACTATTGGTATGTATATACTTTTATTACAATTCTTACACTTATTTCTCTGAATAGCATTACTTCATCAAGGATTATTTGAACCTTTAATGGCCACATTAATGAATGTTGACCAGAGAAACATTGTTTCTTTGACTGGCACTTTAGAAAAACAAAGATTCCTTGGGTCCAATGGGCAGTATTTTTAGTTGTTAGGCAGAGGACTCCACATGAAATCCTGAATTAAACATTGCTCCACTAAAATATTCTGAGGCTAAAGATGAAAATTTTTACAATCAGAAGCAACAAAAACTAGACACATTTTTTAGTAAATCCTTCCCCTCCTTGTCCTTCGGTTGCCTCCTGGCATGCAGATCTCCCTCCTGTCCCTTATGATTCTGTTCTCTCTTCTTCTGCCCCACCATTGACTTTTCCTTCTTGCTTTTTGTTCTGAAATTATTTTCCCAACTGTCATAAATTCTCAGATTGTTTGTTCCATCTAAAGATCCACCCTTACCATGAGCCAGATATGTAAGCAACTGCAGAATTTAAATCTAGTGCATGAGTTCAGAGTTGTACATGAACTAAGAAGTTATAATGAACAATTTTTAAAACTAAACAAGAAAATCAAATATTTATCAAATAATTTAGAATTCTTTAGGGCACATATGACCCAGGGTTACTTGACATATCAACTGGTACACCTGTTAATTTGAACATCAAATACTAAATCCTGCATGATAAAATGTGATTTGGTCTGACCTGTTAGGAAACTTGTAGAATTCCTCTTTCCAAAATAAGTATCACGGTCAAAAATCTTTCATAAAAACAATAAAATTATTAAACTATAGAAGAATTTGGAGATAGACTATAAAATTTATTGTCACAACTCAGAGTTAAATAAAACAGGTTTTCATTAAAATCAAATTATGTAAAAGTTATAAAACTGAAAATCTTAAAAACAAGGATAATTATATAATAAAAGCTATTATAAATACTCAACAGGAAACCAGAAATTATAATTATTTTGTCATTTGTTTTACTATCAACTCTGATTATTGTGTTTCTTAAAAGAAACAAATATATCATTATGAGGTGATCAGAAGCAGACAAGGAGGTTAGACATTCCCTCATTTATTCACTCAGCAACCCTGCCACAGAACTAAACCTATGCCAAGTGCCTGGTGGGCCCAGCGTGTGGTGCTGAGAAATGATTGAGTGGCCCTTTCCCGCATTCAAGGAGCCCACAGTCCGAGGATATATGGACAAAAACACTAAAGCAAGTACATGTAAAAGAAGAGTAAATGCTATAATAAAAATAAAGTAAGATGTTGGGAGGGAGGGCAGGGGAGCCATGGCATTCGAGGGACCCAAATGCCTCACTGAGGTGACATTTATGCCATGACCAGGATGACAACAGAAGGCCAGCCCTGCACAAGTCTGGGAATAGTATTTCAGGGAGATGCCACTCCTGGTGCAGAGACATGCAGGCAGAGGTGACTTTGGCAGAGGATGTGAGAAAGAGGCCGGTGGGGTTAGAGGGAGCCTGGGGCAGAGAAGAGGAGAGGGAAGGATGACTCTGGGGCCTGAAGAAGATAGTGATCTGCTTCTCTCTGACAATACTGTCCCCAAATTTAGCACCTTTAAACAACAAATGCTTACTATCTCACAATTTATGTGGACCAGAATCTGGACACCGCTTTGCTGGCTGCCTCCACATGGGGCTCCATGAGGCTGGGGCTGTGTTCTCAGCTGAAGCTGGGCTGTGGGGGATTGGCTTCCAAGCACACTCATGTGGGTATCGGTCAGGTTCAGTGTAGACTGAGAGCCTGAGTGTCTCCCGGGGCCTGGGCACTCTCTCATTCTCTGTTGTGTAGGCCTCCGCATAAGGCAGCTCATAACACTAGAGCTTGCTTTCCAAATTTGAGGAATACAGTAGAAAGACAGGGAGATAAATACATACTGACAGAGAAAGAGAAAGACATAGAGAATGACGAGAAAACACTGGACAGAGTAAGTAGAAAAGATGAGAGAAATAGAGGGATTGAGGGAGGAAATACAGAAGAAAGTGACTAGGAGAAAATCACAGCTTTTTTGATAATAACATGAGAATTGCAATAGACTGAACATTTCCCCACCAAAAATTGTGTATGTTGGAATCCTAGCCCCCAGTGTAACAGTACTAGGAAGTGGGAGGTAATTAGGTTCTGAAGGTGAAACCCTCATGAACGGGATTACTGGCTCCATAAAAGAAACCCCAGAGAGCTCCTTCCTCCACTACCTGTCAGGTAAAAATACAACGTAAAGTCCACAGTCTGCAACTCAGAAGAGAGAGTTCTCACCAGAGCCCAACCATGCTAGCGTCCTGATCTTCAACTTCTGTCTTCCAGAACTGTGAGAAAGAACATTCTATTGTGGATAAGTGGCTCAGTCTATCTTTGGTACAACAGCCTGACCTAAGACAGAAGTGTTATCCCATCATTTCCATCGCATTCTGTTGGTCAAAAGTGTCATTAACCCCTTAGTGTTGTCAGCCTTTCTGTAAGCTGCCCAGCACATAGGCCAAAATGAAGGACATGGGTCTGATTCTGAATATAATGAGAAGGCACTGAAAGGAGTAATGTCAGAGGATGACACTATCTGAATTCCATTTCATCTCAAACTCTTACTGGTGCAGAATGAAAAATGAGGCTGAGAGGGGAAGCGACTTTCCAATATCACACTGCTGGACACAGGCCTGTTTGAGGTGTATTCTATGCTACCTCCCATTCCTTCTTATAGTTCTTTTATCTCTAAGTGTGTGCATTATCTACATGGGATGCCACACCATGAGTTTTACAAGTTTTATCTCATACACACCTGATGAGTTCCCTAGGAAGGAGATGCTGGCATGTTACCCAATGTACGTGTTGAAAGGCCCCCAAACCCACAGTAACTTTTCTAGTGTGACAGAACTAGTAAGAAAAAGTAGGTTCTTACCCAGATCTGTGACCTCACACCTGAAGCCCTGGCTGTATTCAGGTCTTTCCAGGGAACTGAGGAGGGCTGTGTTTGCATAATTGTGCACAGGTAAAGAGTTGACATGCAGGGATAGTGAGCAGTCAGTGGCCCAGCAGGGCCTTGGGGTAGGTCTTATGGAAGCAAGGAGCCCAGAGGATGAAACTTTGAAAAAGTGATCTTACTTCCTTGGTGACAGACCCCAACAGAACTTATAATTCTGGTAACCCAGCACTCACATCCTAGAGACAGCCCTGTATCCAGGTGGGAAATGCTTGGTGGGAAATGCTTAAGAGAGCACAATGTGCTCCTGCTGGATCCCAACTCTCTTAGGCTCTTGCTTCAGGAAGGCCTAAAGTGAAAATCTTTTTGGAAATGCTGGTATTGGCTTATTCCTCACCCCAGACGTCTCTGGAGATTTTGCAGGGGTCGCCCAGAGGTAACATACGTTAAGTCTAAGGCAGGCTCCTCCAGCCTAGGTCTCATTAGTGCTTTCATTGTCCTTTGCTTTAGAATGTAAGGAAAAATCAGGAATTTAAAATAGCAAAAATTGACCAAAACTACATTTTTGTGAGATTTCCTAAGGTTCTGTGTTGTTGTTGTTTTGTTTGTTTTAGACAGGACCTCACTCTGCCACTCAGGCTGGAGTTCAGTGGCACAATCACAGCTCACTGCAGCCTAGATCTCCTGAGATCAAGCAATTCTCTCACCTCTGCCTCCGAAGTAGCTGAGGGACTACAGGTGCACACCACCACACCTGGCTAATATATATTTTTTTATTTTTAGCAGAGATGAGGTCTCATTATGTTGCCCAGGCTTGTCTTGAACTCCTGAACTCAAGCAATCCTCAATTTTTGATACATAGCTTTGCTAGGTGTAGGATTCTTAGTTGACAGTTTTTTTTTCTGTGAACACCAGCTAAAGAAAGTTTAAAAAGAAGAAATAGAGAAACTTCAAGTAAGGCAATTAAATGAACAAATTAAGAGCTAAGAAACAACAAGATGGGGTATTGAGGTTGTAGTTATGGCAGCTAATGATAGAATGGATCCAGGCAGAGAGTTCAGGCAGAACTGTATTTGCAGAGAGTAGAAGTCTGAGGGTGAAGGTGTCCTAAATGAGGCCAATTTGGAAGACTTTATTTTATTATAGAATCAAAGACAACGCACGGGAACACACCATGCCAAACCCAAACAGGCTAAGCTGGTGCTCTGTGCAAAGGTATATAGGTTTACGGGAAGAAAAGCTACCATTATAACATCAAGTTTTTTTTTTTTTTTAAATTAAAAGAATCACAAATGTGGCAGTTCTAGTCAGGGTTAAGGTTAAAGTTAAAGTTATATTTCAGGTTTGGTTGGTGGATGTCACAAAGCAAAAAGTTTGTTGCCAAGAAGTGGGTGTTCTAGTTTGTGAAATAAAACATCCCAATGACAGGCACAGTAGAGAAGAAAAAGGGATGGGATGGCAAACACAAGTTCCTGGAAATTTATATTAAAATAAGGTTTATAAAGGAGGACAGTGTGCATCTCAGTCATCAGTGCTGCCTGCAATGGAGGTGTTTATTTCTGCCCAAGATAAATACACCAGGCCTACTATGTGAGAGGTGAAAAGGAGCCTACATTATGCTTCCCACGCCAGATGCCTTGACTTGGGGTTCTGTTCCCAGGGAAAAAGAGCACATCTTTGAAGTAGTTTTGGAGCAGGAGGTATCTTCCAAATTCCAACGAAGTATCTTATATTTCTAGGTGACCCTGAGACCACTGGAGAAGAAATAAATGAAGGCCATGAAACTTCCTTGAACTAGTGGGAATCCATGAGAAAATCTGACATTATGTTCTCTTCTCTTGGAATAGAAATATTGTTTGACTTCCGTTTTGCTGAACAAGAAACGAGGCCAGACCACCCACCTGAGCAAGGCTACCTGGGACAATGACCTCACACATGGAAAACATTGGAGCCCATCTGCTTCCAATCTGCTGTTTTCCAAAAATTAGGGAAGTTGTTTTCCCTTTGATACCCTCTGTTTGTAACAATCCCAATGCCAACACTGTCCTGTTTCTACAAGAGACAATGACAAATATGAGCCTGAAGGAAGATGAGCTGATGGCATTCCCAGCTTATTACCACTCCTTGGGGGCCTTATCTTACATACATGGATTCAATTCGTAGATTCAGCTGGGTGAGTATCTATTATTCAGCTGTGTTAGAAGTGACTGCTTAAGACTTAGGTGTGTGGTGAAATGAGGCAGGATTTTCTCCTCATAATTACCATCTTACTATCACTGAGTCATAGCTAAAATCAGGAAATTATTCAAGAAGAAATAGAAATGTAATGTTATGAGGACATAAATTTAGAGATTTGTGGAAAGGCCTTCATAATTTTGTGGCATTTTCTTTGAGCTGGAATTATACTTGACATTTCATTATAATATATTAGCTATACCAGACTTTATGCATTTATGTAAAATTTTATTTGCTTTTATTATACTGTAAGTTCTGGGATACACGTGCAGAAAGTGCAGGTTTGTTAAGCATGTATACACGTGCCATGGTGGTTTGCTGCACCTATTAACCCACCATCTACATTAGGTATTTCTCCTAATGCTATCCCTCTCCTAGCCCCCTACTCCCTGAAGGTCCCTGGTGTGTGATGTTCCCCTCCTTGTGTCCATGTGTTCTCAACGTTCACTTATGAGTGAAAACATGTGGTGTTTGGTTTTCTGTTCTTGTGTTAGTTTGCTGATAATGATGGTTTCCAGCTTCATCCATGTCCCTGCAAAGGACATGAACTCATCTTTTTTATTGCTGCATAGTATCCCATGGTGTATATGTGTCACATTTTCTTTATCCAGTCTATCACTGATGGGCATTTGGGTTGGTTCCAAGTCTTTGCTATTGTGAACACTGCTGCAATAAACATACGTGTGCATGTGTCTTTATAGTAGCATGATTTATAATCCTTTGGGTATATATCCAGTAATGGGATTGCTGGGTCAAATGGTATTTCTGGTTCTAGATCCTTGAGGAATTGCCACACTGTCTTCCACAATGGTTGAACTAATTTACACTCCCACCAACAGTGTAAAAGCATTCCTATTTCTCCACATCCTCTCCAGCATCTGTTGTTTCCTGACTTTTTAATGATTGCCATTCTAAGTGGCATGAGATGGTATCTCATTGTGGTTTTGATTTGCATTTCTCTAATGACCAGTGATGATGAGCTTTTTTTCATATGTTTGATGGCCACATAAATGTCTTCTTTTTGAGAAGTGTCTATTTATATCCTTTGCCTACTTTTTGATGGGTTTCTGTTTTTTTCTTGTAAATTTGTTTAAGTTCTTTGTAGATTCTGGATATTAGACCTTTGTCAGATGGATTGCAAAAATTTTCTGCCATTCTGTAGGTTGCCTGTTCACTCTGATGATAGTTTCTTTTGCTGTGCAGAAACTCTTAAGTTTAATTAGATCCCATTTGTCAATTTTGGCTTTTTTTGGCCATTGCTTTTAGTGTTTTAGTCATGAAGTCTTTGCCCATGCCTATGTCCTGAATGGTACCGCCTGGATCTTCTTCTAAGGTTTTTATGGTTTTAGGTCTTATGTTTAAGTCTTTAATCCATCTTGAGTTAATTTTTGTTTAAAGTGTAAGGAAGGTGTCCATTTCAGTTTTCTGCATGTGGCTAGCCAGTTTTCCCAGCACCATTTATTAAGAAGGAATTCTTTCCCCATTGCTTGTTTTTGTCAGGTTTGTCAAAGAACAGATGGTGGTATGTGTATGGTCTTATTTCTGATTCTGTTCCATTGGTCTATGTGTCTGTTTTGGTACCGGTATCATGCTATTTTGGTTACTGTAACCTTATAATATAGTTTGAAGTTGGGTAGTGTGATACCTCCAGCTTTGTTCTTTTTGCTTAGAAACATCTTGGCGATTTGGGCTCTTTTTTTGGTTCCATCTGAATTTTAAAATAGTTTCTTCTAATTATGTGAAGAATGTCAGTTGTAGTTTAATGGGAATAGCATTGAATTCTTTTATAAATTACTTTGGGCAGTATGGCCATCTTCACGAATTAATTCTTCCTATCCATGAGCATGGGATGTTTCTCCATTTGTTTGTGTCCTTTCTGATTTCTCTGAGCAGTGGTTTGTAGTTCTCCTTGAAGAGGTCCTTCACATCTCTTCTAAGTTGTATTCCTACATTTTTTATTCTCTTTGTAGCAATTGTGAATGGGAGTTCACTCATAATTTGGCTCTCTGTTTGTCTATTATTGGTGTATAGAAATGCTTGTGAGTTTTGCCGATTGATTTTATATCCTGAGACTTTGCTAAGTTGCTTATCAGCTTAAGGAGATTTTGGGCTGAGACGATGGGGTTTTCTAAATATACAATCATGTCATCTGCAAACAGAGACAATTTGACTTCCTCTCTTCCTATATGAATAGGCTTTCTTTCTCTTGCCTGATTATCCTGGCCAGAACTTCCAATACTACGTTGAATAGGAGTGGTGAGAGAGGGCATCCTTGTCTTGTGCTGGTTTTCAAAGAAAATGCTTCCAGCTTTTGCCTATTCAGTATGATAGTGGCTGTGGGATTGTCATAAATAGCTCTTACTATTTTGAGATGCATTCCATCAGTACCTAGTTTATTGAGAGTTTTTTGCATAAAGGGGTGTTGAATTTTATTGAAGGCCTTTTCTACATCTATTTAGATAATCATGTGGTTTTTGTCATTGGTTTTGTTTATGTGATTGATTACGTTTATTGATTTGTGTATGTTGAACCAGCCTTGCATCTCAGGGATGAAGCTGACTTGATATTAGTGGATAAGCTTTTTGATGTGCTGCTGGATTTGGTTTGCCAGTATTTTATTGAGGATTTTTGCTTCGATGTTCATCAGGGATATTGGCCTGAAATTTTCTTTTTTTGTTGTGTCTCTGTGAGGTTATGGTATCAGGATGATGCTGGCCTCATAAAATGAGTTAAGGAGGAGTCCCTCTTTTTCTACTGTTTGGAATAGTTTCAGAAGGAATGGCAGCAGCTCCTCCTTGTACCTCTGGTAGAATTCAGCTGTGAATCCATCTGGTCCTGGGCTTTTTTTGGTTGACAGGCCATTAATTACTGCCTCAATTTGAGAACCTGTTATTAGTCTATTCAGGGATTCAGCTTCTTCTTGGTTTAGTCTTGAGAAGATGTATGTGTCCAGAAATTTAACCATTTCTTCTAGATTTTCTGGTTTATTTGCATAGAGGTGTTTATACTATTCTCTGATGGTAGTTTGTGGGATTTCTGTGGGATCAGTGGTGATACCTCCTTTATCATTTTTTATTGTGTCTATTTGATTTTTCTCTCTTTCCTTCTTTATTAGTCTGGCTTGTGGTCTATCTGTTTTGTTAATCTTTTCAAAAACCAGCTCCTGGAGTCATTGATTTTTTGAAGGATTTTTCGTGTCTCTATCTCCTTTAGTTCTGCTCTGAGTTATTTCTTGTCTTCTGCTAGCTTTTGAATTTGTTTGCTGTTGCTTCTCTAGTTGTTTTAATTGTGATGTTAGAGTGTCGATTTTAGATCTTTCCTGCTTTCTCCTGTGGGCATTTAGTGCTATAAATTTCCCTCTAAACACTATCTTAGTTGTGTCCCAGAGATTCTGGTACGTTGTCTTTGTTCTCCTCGGTTTCAAAGAACTTATTACTTCTGCCCTAATTTCATTATTTACCCAGTAGTCATTCAGGAGCAGGTTGTTCAGTTTTCATGCAGTTTTGTGGCTTTGAGTGAGTTTCCTAATCCTGAGTTCTAATTTGATTGCACTGTGGTCTGAGAGACTGTTTGTTATGATTTCTGTTCTTTTGCATTTGCTGAGGAGTGTTTTACTTCCAATTATGTGGTCAATTTTAGAATAAGTGCTATGTGGTCCTGAGAAAAATGTATATTCTGTTGATCTGGGGTGGAGAGTTCTGTAGATGTCTATCAGGTCCGCTTGGTCCAGAGCTGAGTTCAAGTCCTGAATATCCTTGTTAATTTTGTCTCACTGATCTAATATTGACAGTGAGGTGTTAAAGTCTCCCCAGTTTATTGTGTGGGAGTCTAAGTCTCTTATTATTGTGTGGGAGTCTAAGTCTCTTTGTAGGTCTCTAAGAACTTGCTTTATGAATCTGGGCGCTCCTATATTGGGTGCATATATATTCAGGATACTTAGCTCTCCTTGTTGCATTGATCCTTTTACCATTATGTAATGCCCTTGTCTTTTTTGATCTTTGTTGGTTTAAAGTCTGTTTTATCAGAGATCAGGATTGCAACCTCTGCTTTTTTTTTGCTTTCCATTTGCTTGGTAAATCTTCCTCCATCCCTTTATTTTGAGCTTATGTGTGTCTTTGCACGTGAGATGGGTCTCCTGAATATAGCACACAGATGGGTCTTGACTCTTTATTCAACTTGCCAGTCTGTGTCTTTTAATTGGGGCACTCAGCTCATTCATATTTAAGGTTAATATTGTTATGTGTGAATTTGATCCTGTCATTATGATGCTAGCTGGTTATTTTGCCAGCTACTAGCTGAGCAGTTTCTTTATAGTGTCAACGGACTTTACAATTTCATATGCTTTTGCAGAGGCTGGTACTGGTTTTTCCTTTCCATGCTTCAGGAGCTCTTATAAGGCAGCCCTGGTGGTGACAAAACCTCTCAGCATTTGCTTGTCTGCAAAGGATTTTATTTCTCCTTCACTTATGAAGCTCTCTTTGGCTGGATATGAAATTCTGGGTTGAAAACTCATTTCTTTAAGAATGTTGAATATTGGCCCCCACTCTCTTCTGACTTGTAGGGTTTCTGCAGAGAGGTCCGCTGTTAGTCTGATGGGCTTCCCTTTGTTGGTAACCCGACCTTTCTCTCTGACTGCCCTTAACATTTTTTCCTCATTTCAACCTTGATGAATGGGACGACTGTGTGTCTTGGGGTTGCTCTTCTCGCGGAGTATCTTAACGGTGTTCTCTGTATTTCCTGAATTTGAATGTTGGCCTGCCTTGCTAGGTTGGGGAAATTCTCCTGGATAATATTCTGAAGAGTGTTTTTCAACTTGGTTCCATTCTCCCTGTCACTTTCAGGTATACCAATCAAATGTAGGTTTGGTCTTTTTACGTAGTCCCATATTTCTTGGAGGCTTTGTTCATTTATTTTCATTCTTTTTTCTATAATCTTTGTCTTCACGCTTTATTTCATTATGCCGATCTTCAATCTCTGATACCCTTTCTTCTGCTTGATCAATTCGGCTACTGATACTTGTGTATGCTTCAAGAAGTTCTCGTGATGTGTTTTTCAGCTCCATCAGGTCATTTATGTTCTTCTCTAAACTGGTTATTCTAGTTAGCAATTCCTCTAACCTTTTTTCAAGGTTCTTAGCTTCCTTGCATTGGGTTAGAACATGCTCCTTTAGCTCAGAGGAGTTTGTTATTGCCCACCTTCTGAAGCCTACTTCTGTCAATTTGTCAAACTCATTCTCTGTCCAGTTTTGTTCCCTTGCTGGTGAGGTGTTGTGATCCTTTGGAGGAGAAGAGGCGTTCTGGTTTTTGGAATTTTCAGGCTTTTTGCACTGGTTTTTCCTCATCTTTGTGGATTTACCTACCTTTGGTCTTTGATGTTGGTGACCTTCAGATGGGGTTTCTGTGTGGCATCCTTCTTGTTGATGTTGACGCTATTCCTTTCTGCTTGTTAGTTTTCCTTCTAACAGTCAGGCTCCTCTATTGCAGATCTGCTGGAGTTTGCTGGGGGTCCGCTCGAGATCCTGTTTGCCTGGTTATCACCAGCAGAGGCTGCAGAACAGCAAAGATTGCTGCCTGTTCGTTCCTCTGGAAGCGTCGTCCCAGAGAAGCACCCACCAGATGCAGCTGGGGCTCTCCTGTATGAGGTGTCTGTCAAACCCTGCTGGGAGGTGTCTCCCAGTCAGGAGGCACAGGGGTCAAGGACCCACTTGAGGAGGCAGTCTGTCCCTTAGCAGAGCTTGAGCGCTGTGTTGGGAGATCCATTGCTCTCTTTGGAGCTGGCAGGCAGAAATGTTTGTCTGCTGAAGCTGTGCCCATAGCCGCCCCTTCCCCCAGGTGCTCTGTCCCAGGGAGAAGGGAGTTTTATCTATAAGCTCCTGACTGGGGCTGTTGCCTTTCTTTCAGAGATGCCCTGCCCAGAGAGGAGCAATCTAGAGAGGCAGTCTGGCTACAGCGGCTTTGCTGAGCTGTGGTGGACTCAGACCAGTTCAAATTTCCCGGTGGCTTTGTTAACACAGTGAGAGGAAAGCCACCTACTCAAGCCTCAGTAATGGCGGACACCCCTCCCCACCAAGCCTGAGTGACCCAGGTCACCTTCAGACTGCTGTACTGGCAGTGAGAATTTCAAGCCAGTGGATCTTAGCTTGCTGGGTTCCATGGGAGTCAGATCCACTGAGCTAGACCACTTGGCTTCCTGGCTTCAGCCCCCTTTCCAGGGCAGCGGATAGTTCTGTCTTGCTGGCATTCCAGGCGCCACTTGTGTATGGAAAAAGACTCCTGCAGCTAGCTCAGTGTCTGCCCAAACGGCCATCCAGTTTTGTGCCTGAAACCCAGGGCACTGGTGGCATAGGCACCTGAGGGAATCTCCTGGTCTGCAGGTTGCAGAGATGGTGGGAAAATCATAGTATCTGGGGCTGCAGTGCACCATTCCTCAGGGCACAGTCTCTTGTGGCTTCCCTTGGCTAGGGGAGGGATTTCTTCCCTGACCCTTTGCGCTTCCTGGGTGAGGCAATGCTCCACCCTCTTTCTGCTCACCCTCTGTGGGCTGCACCCACTTTCTAACCAGTCCCAGTGAGATGAGCTGGGTACCTCAGTTGGAAATGCAGAAATCACCAGGCTTCTGCATTGATGTCAGTGGGAGCTGCAGACCAGAACTGTTCCTATTTGGCCATCTTGTCAGCCACAACCCCCCCACCGCCTTTTTTTTTTAAGATGGAGTCTTGCTCTGTCGCCAGGTTGGAGTGCAGTGGTGTGATCTTGGCTCACTGCAACTTCCACCTCCCAGGTTCAAGCCATTCTCCTGCCTCAGCCTCCTGAGTAGCTGGGACTACAGGTATGCACCACCATGCCCAGCTAATTTTTGTGTTTTTCGTAGGGATAGGGTTTCACCATGTTGCCAAGGATGGCCCGGATCTCTTGACCTCATGATCTGCCCACCTTGGCCTCCCAAAGTGCTGGGATTACAGGCATGAACCACCACTCCCAGCCTGGAAATCTTCTTTTAAGAATTGTCTATTCGTGTCTTTAGCCCACTTTTTTTTCTCTCGCACTGATTTGAGTTCTTTGTAGATTTTAGATATTAGTCCTTTTTTGGATGTATAGATTGTGAAGATTTTCTCCTACTCTGTCAGTTGTCTGTTAACTCTGCTATTTCTTTTGCTGTGCAGAAGCTTTTTAGTTTACTTAAGTGCTATCTATTTATCTTTGTTTTTGTTCCATTTGCTTTTAGGTTCTTGGTCATGAAGTCTTTGCCTAAGCCAGTATCTAGAAGGGTTTTTCCAATGTTATCTTGTAGAATCTTTATGGCTTCAGGTCTTAGATTTAAGTCTTTGATCCATCTTGAGTTTATTTTTGTATAAAGCGAGAGAGGAGGATCCAGTTTCATTCTACATGTGGCTTGCCAATTATTCCAGCACTATTTGTTGAACAGGGTGTCCTTTCCCACTTTATGTTTTGTTTGCTTTGTCGAAGATCAATTGACTGTATTTAGCTTTAATTACGGTTTCTTTATTCTGTTCCATTGGTCAATGTCCCGATTTTTTATACCAGTATCATGCTGTTTTGGTGACTACTGCCTTATAGTATAGTTTGAAGTTGGGTAACAATGCCTCCAGATTTGTTCTTTTTGCTTAGTCTTGCTTTGGCTATGTGGGCTCTTTTTTGCTTCCATGTAAATTTTAGGATTGTTTTCTCTAGTTCTGGGAAGAGTGATGGTGGTATTTTGATGGGAATTGCATTGAACTTGTAGACTGCTTTTGGCAGTATGGTCATTTTCATAATATTAATTGTACCCATCCATGAGCATGGGATGTGTTTCCATTTGTTTGTGTCAATGTCATTATTTTTAAAATGCTGCCATTTGACCATCATAGAACTAGAATATGTGGACTATGAACCACGTGAAAGCTAAGGAGCCATTAGACAAGGCAGCCAGATAATGAGTTAAGTAATGACAGCATGGAAAATGAATAAAAGCCTT
Source organism: Homo sapiens (assembly GCF_000001405.40). Taxonomy (NCBI): domain Eukaryota; kingdom Metazoa; phylum Chordata; class Mammalia; order Primates; family Hominidae; genus Homo; species Homo sapiens. The sequence goes on from NC_000001.11 coordinate 247,515,270, forward strand.
TCAAATCTCTGACAAAGTAATTGAAGAAAAGGACTTTTCCCCTGTGTGAAGTTTGTGGTTGAGACATTGTTGCACTGCAACAGTAACTTTAATTTTTAATGTGCAAGAATATATTTAGAAATACAGTTTAAAATGTTGTTTATGAAAAAGGAATGGTAACTAATTAATATATAATAACTCTGTACCTTGATGAGGTCCTTGTAGGTCCAACAGCTTCCTGTGTTAATAGATGTAGTGTATCATTCTGTTCTCGCACTGCTAGAAAGAACTACCTGAGACAGGGCAATTTATGAAGAAAAGAGGTTTAATTGACTCACAGTTCTGCAGGCTGTACGGGAATCATGACTAGGAGGCCTCAGGAAACTTACAATCATGGCAGATGGCGAAGGGGAAGCAAGCTCCTCTTACCATGGTGGAGCAGGAGCCTGGGGAGGTGCCACACACTTTTAAACAACCAGATCTTGTGAGAACTCATTCACTATCATGAGAACAGCAAGGAAGCAATCTGCCCTCATGATCCAGTCACCTCCCACTAGGCCCCTCCTCCAATTCAACATGAGATTTGGGTGGGGACACAAATCCAACCTGTTATCACACAGTCTTTTCAGTAAACCCAGCAGTGATCAGACTCAGGAAGCACATTTATTATACTAACCACACCTACACATAGTTAGCTGATAAGACTCTTATCTGTTGGTTGAGGGGGGAGGAGACCCAGAGAAGGACCAGAATATTGTCATTTAGGGTATGATGTTTAGGCTGTTAGGTGGACAGCAAAAATGGCAGAGGAAGGCAGGGTGGTACAATGAGTGATAGATGATGCAATGTGAATCGAAGGCCTAAAACCCACAAGAACAGGGGTGTTTTGCCACCTACAGTAAGAACACTCATGTCAATACGGCAGGACCACTTCCTTCTTGTGTGTTTCTGAAAACACATATGGGAACTCCTAATCTCTCATTCCCTCTTTTCTAAATGTTATAAGACAATTTGTAATACTGTGTTGACATTATGGATTTTGGTTTAGAGTTTAGGCATTTAAAAGACACTGGACCCTACGTCTGCGACAGAGCAATTAGCGAACACAGGTGATGAGTACTGAACAACTTGAGTAAATGATTCCTTGTGTCCATGTTACAATTTCCAAGCTCCAATTCATGCTGACCTAGTTTAGTTCTAGATGTGTATTCTCATGATGAGATCTGCAGATACAACATGCTCATAATAGATTCAGTTTCTAAAGTGTCCCTTAAACTGGTTTGTCTACAACTTTCATGTTGACTGTTTTTTTTTTTTTTTTTTTAAACTCCAGATCTAACTGCACTTTATATATGGCTGGTGATCAGACAGTAACCCTTTTCTGAGTTTAGGGTCTACAATCCTTTCAGATTAGACCTCAAATGGACACATCCTGTACGTGGACAGCAGAGCTATGGAAAACAAGAGGGATGCATTTGTAACCCTCTGTTTACACTACAACCTAACTTCTTCAGCAGCTGAGTCCTTGTCAAGCCAAAAGGAGTGATAGTAGAAAATTATATTCGTACAGCCAACATTTAATTGTTGACATACAGAAAATACTTTTTTTTCAGTTAATTTCTTAATTATAGGCGAGATCTATGTTCCCAGCGCAGATACTTGATGGGTGTCTATTTAATAATGTGAATATTTAGTTTGCTTTCACGAAGGAGTGCAGGTCATAAGACATACTTACTACCAAAATAACTCTCTACAATGATCCTGATTATTCTGCTTAACTGATCTCTGGGCACTGAATAATATTGACTGGAAAGGCACAAAAGAACATTCCTTGCTTTTCTGCTCTTTGTGAGTGGACATGGCAAGGAAGAAAATCCTTTCACCTTTGCACAATCAAAGCTGCTTTTGGTCTTTTGGATAATGTCAGACTAATCATTGAGTCAAGAGATTGGACCAAATCTTTAACAATTCAGAGTAAAATGAATTCAGGGCTCCCCTGTTCTCTAGGGCCCCCAGGCTATTTTCCCCAAAATGTACAGGTATTGTGAGTAACTTATTACTAGGTGTCTTGTCTCTTTCCTATCTAAACCTGCAGTTCACAGTGCAAGGTCGGCACAGAGTGTGAGACTGTACTCTTTATGCAGTGGATTTTAAATCACTGGAACAAAAAAATGTAAAATGTGGAAATGTGAGAGCTGATCGTATTAATTGAAGCTATTGTTCCACAAATTTTAGGAGATTGTATCCAGTAGCAGAGAAATTGGTTCATGGTTAGTAGATTCTGACAAAATATTTTTTTTAATATTATTTACTTATTTCTGAAAATAACAAAAAGCTTGTTTAAAAAATTTTTATTTTTAAAAGTCTACCCAGTTAACTCGCTTGACTAGATCAGAGTGCTACTGAGAAAAAAGTTTTAGCTTTCTTCTCTTCACAAATATCTTTACTTAACGTCTTGCCCTTCAGTGCTAGATAACCAGCAGGCAAGTGAGACTCGCTAAAAACTGTGGGTGGTGGAATGGATCCTCCGCACTGAGAGGACAGAACAACACGTGCCATTTTCTAATCACTGCAGCCTGTGAACCTCTCTAAATAGGCAAATGAGGCCAAGGGCGATGGAGGGTCAATGAGAGCTCGCGGGGTGACGCCATTCTGCTGGGGTTCTGGAGAGGCCAAAGCTGGAGACGGTCCCGTTTGTGGTCAGCACGGCCTTTTACTTTCTGGCCGTGACTGGCAACTGCACCAACGTCCTCCTCTCCCTCCCACTGCACACTCCCACTTCCTCAGCGACCGGGCCCTTCTCCACCTCCTGCCACAGCACTCGCAGCTTCTCCCAAGTGCTAGTTAACCGCGGGGGCTCAGGCAAATCCATGGCCCGCGTGGGTGTGCGGTGCGGCCCTCTGAGGCCTCTGGCTCCTGGTCTGGCCTGGCCGCGCCGGCTCCGGGAGCTGCCATTCCGCCCTGACGTCGCCGCGTACACGTACCTGGGGCGGTGCAGTCACCGCTGCCTCTGCCAGTTCGTGTGTGGGACGCCGGCCATCACCGCATTTCCGCGTGGACGCCGGCAGGGTGGAACGCCTGGCTTTCCCCGGCCACCCCAGCCGCCCTGGCGCCTCTCGCGCGACTTGGCCTCGGCCCCTCGGGGGCAGTGCACTGCTGCGCATGCGGTCTCAGCGCCCGGCCTTCCCGCGCGGCTGCCGCCCTTTCCACGGTGACGCCGTCTGCACTAGCGCCGCACCCGCTTCAACTGCCTGCAACCGCCGCTGAATTCCCTCATCCCCACGCTGAGAGGACGAGAAAGGCGCCCTGGGGAAGGCTCTCGGGAAAGCCCGCAGCCGCTGGACGCGGGAGGACATGGAGGTAGGCGGGAACACTCACCCCGCGATTTCGTGTGGTCCGCGAAGCTTTTTCTCTTCAGGACAACACTGCACAATGGCATCCATTAATAATACGATGGGGAACGGGGGCCGCGGCGCTCGCCTGCAGTCCCAGCGCTTTGGCAGGCCAAGGCGGGCAGATCGCTTGAGCTCAACAGTTCCAGACCAGCCTGGGCAATACAGCGAGAACCCATCGCTACCAGAAATGTAAAAAATTAGCCGGGCTAGTGGCGCCTGCCTTTAGTCCTAGTTACTTGGGAGGCTGAAGCGGGAGGATCGCTTGAGACCAGGAGTTTGAGGCTTCAGTGAGCTCTAATCACACCACTGCACTCCAGCCTGGGCAACTGAGCAAAACCCTATCTCTAAAAAAAGAAAAAAGCGCCGAGATTGTGCCACTGCACTCCAGCCTGGACGACAGAGCAAGACTCAGTCTCAAAACAAAAACAAAAACAAACAAACAAACAAACAAAAAGCGGCAGGGATGTGAATGTGAATGGAGCAAGGCGTTCTCTCTTTCAGGGGTCTCAGACTTTGTATCTTTGCTTGCAGGTGGACTGACTGCCCCATGTCCTTCAAAGTTAATTGCAAAAGAGTTCATTGCAAGAGATGATGTGCTGGTGGAAAGATAGATGCTGCTACTTCTTTCCTTAGTGGGGTTTTACAGGCAGATAATGACTGCTTTGCAGCTCATTTGTGACTCTGATTCCACTGAGCGGTAATGTCATTAGATCAGATACAAGAGTAAGGAGACAGCATGGCAGAAACGCACGTGTGTGTCTGTGGTGAGTGTTTTCTGGGGTACACTTGTTCCCACAGGCCTTTTTGTTCTGAATTTTCCAGACCCCTGTGCAGATGACACTGTTACTTCCTCAGGCTGTTACCTGCCCCCTCAGGCCCTAAGCAGGTAACATGTATCTGCCTAAGAGCAGTGTTTCCTTTACATTTCAGGTTATATGTCACTTACAACATCAATTTAAGTGCGGCAAACATTCGTTATTCTAGGTTAGCATAAAATGGATTAGAAAATTTCACAGAGGACTATGCATGGTAGTGAGTCAGTTGTGTATATGTGTGTGTGAAATGTGTTTCTTACACCGATATAAAAGTTTGAAAGTCACTGCTTTAGAGAGTTTCTGTTGGAACAAGCTTCCAAGCAACCCATATGTCTGTACTAGAGGAAAATCTAGGAATATCACTTTAAGGAAACATAGGGTCGTGTATGGGAAGATATGGACTCAAAGAGTTTGTAGAGCAAGGAAATCACAGCTGCTTAGCATGGGAGAGTTTGCCAGGATAAATGATGATGATATGTTGACAGTGATTATGTTAATCATGCTAATTATGATAAAAATGAAACTTTTTTCAACTCATGCATTTTCACCTTTTGACATTTCTGAAGTAGGAATATTTTAAGATTTAGTGGCAAGTCATAGTTTTTACTTCATATTTTCCTTTAAAATTTACACTAAAAAAAGGTGCGCTTCTCTGATTACTGTAAAAATAAATGAAATTACATCTATTTCCATGAACTACTTAGTTCCTGTAATGGCTAGTTTTGTGTCAACGTGACTAGGCTGTAGTACCCAGATATTTGGTTAAACACCAGTCTGAGTGTTGCTGTGAAAGTATTTTTTTCAGATGACATTAACATTTAGATTGGTAGACTTTGAGTAAAGTAGATTACCCTCCATGATGTGGATGGGCCTGATCCAATTCAGTTGAAGGCCTTAAGAGAAAACAGACTCAGGTCCTACAAGGAAGGAGGAGTTCTTACATCTGCTTTCAAGCTACAGCTGTAACATCAACTTTTCTCAGAGTCTCCAGCCTACCCTGAAGAGTTCTGATTTGCCAACCCCCATATTGAGTTAGCCAGTTTCTTCAGATAAGTACCCCCACCTCTTCACACACACACACACACACACATCTTCTGTTGATTCTGTTTCTCTGGAGACCCCTAATACAGTTGTACTACAAACTTCCCAGAAGTTATATAAAATAAAGCACATCTTGATCAAATTTGGATACGTTTTTGCCTTTTTTTTACAGCCTCAAACTCTTTAGGTTAATGCGTAGTTTTCAAATTTCTTTTCTCATGTTCAAATAGCTGTTTCTTCAAGCAGGACAGTCTTTCCTTATATTTTCAGTTCAGATTTCCTCATTGGATTATTAGAGGTTAAAAAAATTATAGACATTGCAAAAAGGGAAAAGGGGAAACCAACTTACGTCTATACTACTTTATCTTCTGATTTCCGAAAGGGAAAAGAAGTTTGTTGCAATCTTCTGTGTTTCTTATTAAGCCTCTGAATTTTTTCACTGCTCTGTCTTATAGTTTTAGTATGCTTAGCCTGGTGTGTACTAGACATTGCCTCTGGCACTACACCACATGCATTTAGTGTGGGCCTATATAAACTTAGTCAAGCAACTGTGTTAGAAAAAAATTTTATTCTGTGGTGAAATAAATCTTAGAATTTGAATTTACATTCTTGCATTTTTTTTTTTTTTTTTTGCAAGGAGAAAATCCTATAGGCATCTTTCTAACCATCCACCCAACTAGGAATTGGGAATCCAAAAAAATTGAGAATCCACTCAATTTTTATATACCTGCAGTATTAATTATAACAGGATTGATGAGACTGTTACAAGGTTGTAAGCATTTTCAACAGTTTATGAAAAACATAATGTCTCCCTCTCCCTCTCCAGTCTCCCTCTCCCTCTCCACGGTCTCCCTCTCCCTCTCCACGGTCTCCCTCTCCCTCTCCACGGTCTCCCTCTCCCTCTCTTTCCATGGTCTCCCTCTGATGCCGAGCGGAAGCTGGACTGTACTGCCGCCATCTTGGCTCACTGCAACCTCCCTGCCTGATTCTACTGCCTTAGCCTGCCCAGTGCCTGGGATTGCAGGGGGCGCCACGACGCCTGACTGGTTTTCGTATTTTTTTGGTGGAGACGGGGTTTCGCTGTGTTGGCTGGGCTGGACTCCAGCTCCTAACCGCGAGTGATCTGCCAGCCTCGGCCTCCTGAGGTGCTGGGATTGCAGACGGAGTCTCGTTCACTCAGTGCTCAATGTTGCCCAGGCTGGAGCGCAGTGGCATGATCTCAGCTCGCTACAACCTCCACCTCCCAGCCGCCTGCCTTGGCCTCCCAAAGTGCCGAGATTGCAGCCTCTGCCTGGCCACCACCCCGTCTGGGAAGTGAGGAGCATCTCTGCCTGGCTGCCCATCGTCTGGGATGTGAGGAGCCCCTCTGCCCGGCTGCCCAGTCTGGGAAGTGAGGAGCGCCTCTTCCTGGCCGCCATCCCGTCTAGGAAGTGAGGAGCGTCTCTGCCCGGCTGCCCATCGTCTGAGATGTGGGGAGCGCCTCTGCCCCGCTGCCCCGTCTGGGATGTGAGGAGCGCCTCTGCCCGGCCGCAACCCCGTCTGGAAGGTGAGCAGCGTCTCTGCCCGACCGCCCCATCTGAGAAGTGAGGAGCCCCTCCGCCTGGCAGCCGCCCCGTCTGAGAAGTGAGGAGCCCCTCCGCCTGGCAGCCGCCCCATCTGGAAAGTGAGGAGCGTCTCCGCCCGGCAGCCGCCCTGTCTGGGAGGTGGGGGGCAGCCCCCGCCCAGCCAGCCGCCCTGTCCGGGAGGGAGGTGGGGGGCAGCCCCCACCCGGCTAGCCGCCCTGTCCGGGAGGGAGGTGGGGGGCGCCTCCACCTGGCCGCCGCCCCGTCTGGGAGGTGGGGGACGCCTCTGCCCGGCCGCCCCTTCTGGGAGGTGAGGAGCCCCTCTGCCCGGCCGCCACCCCGTCTGGGAGGTGTACCCCACAGCTCATTGAGAATGGGCCATGATGACGATGGCGGTTTTGTTGAATAGAAAAGGGGGAAATGTGGGGAAAAGATAGAGAAATCAGACTGTGGCTGTGTCTGTGTAGAAGGAGGTAGACATAGGAGACTCCATTTTGTTCTGTACTAAGAAAAATTATTCTGCCTTGGGATGCTGTTATCTATGACCTTAACCCCAACCCCATGCTCTCTGAAACATGTGCTGTGTCCACTCAGGGTTAAATGGATTAAGGGCGGTGCAAGATGTGCTTTGTTAAACAGATGCTTGAAGGCAGCATGCTCATTAAGAGTCATCACCACTCCCTAATCTCAAGTACCCAGGGACACAAACACTGCGGAAGGCCGCAGGGCCCTCTGCCTAGGAAAACCAGAGACCCTTGTTCACTTGTTTATCTGCTGACCTTCCCTCCACTATTGTCCTATGACCCTGCCAAATCCCCCTCTGTGAGAAACACCCAAGAATGATCAATAAATACTAAAAAAAAAAAAAAAAAAACCATAACGTATAACTTTTAATGAGAAATTTTTCTGAGTGCTCTAACAAATACTGCTTCACATTGCTAACACTCAGTCTAGTTTTAGAAAATATATATGAAATCCTCTATTGTATCAAAAATGTTTATCATTTTTAGTAAATAAATGAACCTCCATCTACTGTTTGTCAGTAGCTCTTGCTCTGCAGTTTGGGGTTGGCAACCTCCTACAGAACAGATGCCCCTTCAACCTATATACACTTTATCTCCTTTGAACCACTGTAGTTTTGGTCTCTGTTACAGCAGCGTAATAATCAAGTAATAATCAAGACCTATATGAAGAAAACTGGAAATCTTTCCTGAAGGAATAAAAGATCTACATGCATATATAGACAGGAATAATTCCTAACATTCATTGAGGTTTTACTGTGCTAGTCATTATATTGAGTACCAATTTCTCATTACTTAAGTCTCTGCAGAAACCTTTCAAGACTGGTGTTTTTGCCACCCTTTACAGATAAAGACAACAGGGTTCAGAGAGGTGGGTTTATTGACCAAGGATTCATAGTCAAGTGAGGCATCAGGACCCATAGCAAGTACTTAATGACATGATCCCACCCCCGTGCTTCAGTTCCTTTGTTCATTATCCACATGGAAGTCTTGGTCCTGCAAACATGGTAAATTTTCCAGACATTAATTTAAAAATGTAGTTCAATACTAACCACAGTCAATAAGATACTGTTTTGGGTTAGGAGGAAACTAGCTGTGACTTTAACTTGGTAGAGCAGAACATAGTGACAACCATGAAAAGTCTAAATTAGAAAAATAGATAATGATTGATGCCTTGTTCTACTAGATGACAAAATATACTATACATCAACAGCTATTAAAAGTGTTACAAATGTGAATGAAATAAAATAAATGAATAAATATTAATAGAATTGATATTCCTGAAATAAATTTGCACATATATGAAATTTTGAATATGGTAAAGGTATAATTTGAAGCAAATAATGAAAATACAGCTAGCGAAATAAATTGTTTTGGGACAATTGACTGAACATTTGGAAAACAACATCTGTCTTACACACACACACACACACACACACACACACACTCTGCAGATGCAGTGAATTGAAAACCTAAACATAAAATAGAAAACCATAAAACGAGAAGATAAATACAATCTGGAAGATCGCAGGCCATTTCTAAGCATAACTCCAAGCATGAAGGCTTATCATGCCCTTTACTTCTTCCAAATAGTCTGAAAATATGAAATTCCATACATCTAGGGTCTCTAAGACATTTATTACCTGGGCCTGAGGGATCTCTCAGACCTCACTTCCCACCACTCTTTCCCTTACTCTCTTTCAGCCACACCAGCCTTTCTACACATGTAGCCCTTCCTCTTCCAAAGCCTTGATACTGGCTACTCCCTCCCCTTGGGATGCCCTCCATACCCATGCTGTGTGACTTCCTCCTTTGTTTCAGGGGAGAGCGCAAGTGGCAGTCCCTAGACCTCATGTCACCTTCTCCAGGCTCACCCTGCATGGCAGTTGATCGTATCTCTTAACCGACATTCTCATTTGCTTGCTTTGTTGGTGAATATTCTCTCTTCCCGAACTTTTGCATCCTATGAAAGCAGGGATATCAGTTATTTATTCCTGCATCTTCAGCCTCCAATACAGGCTGCATACATAAACCATGTTTAAATAATAATTCATTTCTTTGAATGAAATAATGAACAGTCCCACAACTAGAAGGCATAAAGGCATGATTGATAGTTTATTTAATACATATAACATTTAAAACTTTTGTACCACAAAGGAAACAAACAAAACATAGCAAAAGGATAAAACGTCCCACTAGAAAAACGATTCAACACTTATATGATGACAAAGATGTGTAGAATCATGTCAACTACCGCTACAAATCAGTAAGCAAAAAGGTAAAACAATGAAAATTTAAGAAAAAAACAATTTATTGAAGAAACACAAATAGCCCCAAAACATACCAGAAGATGTTAAACCTCACTAATGATTAAATCAATGCCAAATAAAATGATACTGAGGTAAGATTTGCAAGTAAAACTAAAGTTACTAACAAAATCAAATGTTAGTGAAACTGTGAGAATATATGCCTTTGTACACATTATTGGCAAAAGTACGAATTTGGTGTCTGAAGGGAAATTTAAATATGTCCACATAATGTCAACATGTTCTATAAGGAAAAACAAACTAAAGCGCTTTTTCTATTCTCTCACTCAACAATCAACACAGAAGACTTCTGTGACTAAAGGTGATGGGGTTAAGCCCATACACCAAGCAAACAATCAATCCTATGGCAGACACCAGCTGGGTGTCCTTCAATTCAGTTTTGACACTATCTACCTGGAAATAACGCCAGGTCTGCTGGGTGAGGGCTAAGTCTCATAAGACATCCCCGTTTCCAATACCAATTATAAGCCTCAAGTTCTTTTTACCTGTGTGTCTGACCAGTCAATCAGCTGTAAGTCTGGGTTACCACAGCCCCCTTCTTGGGTTCAATTAATTTGCTAGAGCAGCCCACAGAACTCATGGAGGCATCTACATTTAGCAGTTTATTGTAAAGGATATCGCAAGAGATGCAGATGAAGAGATGCATAGGGTGAGGTATAGGGAAAGGCTGTGGAGCTTGCATGCTCTCTCCAGGTTCACCACCTTCCAGGAACCTCCACGTCTTCAGCTATCTGGAAGCCCTCTGAACCCAGTCCTTGAGGGTTTTTATGGAGGCATCATTCTGTAGGCATGACTGATTAAATCACTGGCCATTGGTGTTCTGCTTAACATTCATCCCTTCTTCCCTCCATGGAGGTTGGGGGCTGGGTCTGACTATCTTAATTCTCTAATTCTGCCTTGGTCTTTCAGGTGCCCAGCTCCCATCCTGAAGCTACGTAGGGACTACTAGCCATTTGTCAACTCATTAACATACAAGTACCACTTTAAGGAATCCAAGGATTTTAGTAGTTGTATGCCTGGAAACCTGTTGAAGACCAAATATATGCTTCAGAGTATATACATGTGAATACCATTTGATTTTTTATTCTAAAATTTATCTTGAGCTACTAGTCAAGTTTGCAAGGATTTCAATACACATGAACTTATTGTAGCTTTGTTTGTAATAATGAAAATGAGAAATTCCACGGTGATTAGGTTTGAAATATACCTGTGCACAGCATGTGTTGAGATGAGAAAATATCTGTGATCTATTAAGTGAATTTATTTGCCAAGAAATCTTGAGCCTGCTATTCCCTGGGTTAGTTTCTGAATTCTTGCATTCCTTTCTTACCATGAGAAGCTTGCCATGTTGAGGGTGATTATAATTTTTAAAGTTTATATTTTTTACTCTATCTGGCTCATAATACCTGACCTAAAGTTCTGACAGAAGCTGGAAGATAAACTGGTGTGTGAGAAATTACCTTAGTCTGGGTGTTTCCAAGGCAGAAGCTGTGTCCAGTGCACATGTTCTGTGATCCCAGAGAGCAGGAAAGGGCAAGGACAAAGAGGGTTTGGCCATGACCAAGGGTGACTGGTGCTCCATCCTTCTGGAAACTGGGAGCTTTGTGAAATGCATCTTACTTCAGGAAGTGTGTCTCCACTGGCTTACATCCCCACAGTCAATGTGGCCTGGGTCCTTCACTCTCCACATTTCTCAGCTGTGCATGCTGTGGTGATGCATGACCCTCACAGTGTGCAGCATGGGAGGAAACCCATACATGAAGTAGAGGGTTCACAGAGCAGGTTTGGGATGATCCAGGTTTTCTGTCCTGTGAGAAGCCATCAAAGCCTATGGTTGCTGCAAGAGGAATAAAAGAAAAGATGGAGCCTAGAAAATTCTGACATATTCGGCTGAAAAGGGACCTGGCATCGAAAGACAAGTGGTGTCCAATATGGCATGTTAGCATTTTCCTCTTCATTTACTATAACTTAAATCCAAGTAAGATGGGACTTCCCTCTATTTAGAAAGGTCTTCTTTCACTTTCTTTCAGGATTTACTGCCTCAAGATGGTTATGTTGGAGGATTCCAATAGTTCTACTGGATGTGGAGCCAGAAATTGTGTGGAATGCCTGGTGTTTCTTTCAGTTCTTGGATGCCAATCTGAGGTACAAATCACATTTCAAGTGTATTTCCTTGGGTTCTGGAGAGGATGTCTTCATTTTCTGTTAAGCATTTAGGGAGCAGTTGGGTGAGCACATGACCAATCAGCCTGAGCATTTAAGGCAGTTGGAGGAGAGTGTGAGTTATGGTCATCATTCTCCTCTGTGCCAAACAGGGGCTGATGGATGGTCAGGGCAAAGCACAGTGCTGTCCTCATGGTTCTGGGAGGGTCTGCGTTGTCTGCTATCCCCACATAAACTGATGAGGACCTGCACTCCTGTCCTGAGTTGACACCCAGCCTTGAGGTCAAGAAGATGACAGATATTTGGGGTAACGGGTCCCAGAGGGTCCTACTGCCACTTCCTCATTGCTTTCTCTGGAGGTTCTACCAACTTGACTACTGAGCTTAAACAAAGCCATGAACTGGCAGATGAAAATTACAGTGCATCCAAACTCCAGAGATTTTTAATTAGTCTTTTCAAGAGGTTAGGGAAAGTTTTTAGTATTCAGATTGAAGTTTTTCTTCAGATCTTGAATGTTTGAAAATTTTTTTATTTTAGCTTTTAGTGGACATATAATAATTGAACATATTTCTGGGGTAAACAGTGATGTTTGGAAGCACATAATGTATAGTGATCAGATAAGTGTGATTAGAATATCCATCATCTCAAACATTTATCGTTTCTTCGTGCTGGGAACATTCAATATCCTCCTTCTAGCTGTTTGAAAATACAGAATATATTATTGTTATGGTCATCCCGCAGTGGTATAGAACACTAGAACTTACTCCTCCAATGGAGCTGTAATTTTGTATCCTTTAACAAATCTCTTCTCATTCCCCCACCCCTGCTATCCATTCCCAGCCTCAAGTATCCTCTGTTCTACTTATTTCTATGAGATCAACCCTTTTTTAGCTTTCACAGATGAATGAGAACATGCAGTATTTAACTTTCTCAAAAATTTTATCTAATACTTTAAAAGTTATGATTTCCCCCATTTGTTTCTGTTTCTTCGGTCTTTGGGTTCTAAACTGAGTAAAAAATGTCAGTAACTTGATTTCCTACCTTCCTGACTCATAATAATGTTATCATGTGTCTCTGACTCCTAGAGTACCTGCTGTCTGCTTTTTTACTTCCCCTTCCCCCACCCCCAAGCCCCCAAAATTGTATAATTATTTTTTAAATTTCATTTTAGTTTGTTTTTAATTCACAAATAACAATTGTACACACTTATGGGGTGCAGTATGATGTTTTGATACATGTATACTTGTGTAATGATCAAATCAAGGTAATTAACATATCCATTACCTCAAACACTTGTCATTTCTTTGTGGTGAGAGCGTTCAAAATCCTGTCTTCACAACATGCATGAACCTAGAAGACATTGTGTTAAGTGAAATAAGCCAAACACAAAGGGACAAATCCTGCATGATCTCACCCATATTTCATGTTTAGCCAACTGTTAAAGAAGGAAAAAGCATGGGCCAGTTTACAAATGAATCTGCATTATACACCAGCAACAGAAAGAAGCAAATGGCATTAAACCACAGTACCCCTCCAGGTGTTGCTGAAAGATGGTGAGGAAGGGAAACTTCCCAGTGGTCAAACTACAGGCAGTTTAGCTGGTTGTTAATTTTTTATAGAAGGAGACAGGCACAGAAGTTTGGATATGCACTGATTTAGGAGCATTGGATAACAAGTTATTATTTTGCTGAGAGATTTGTGAAGAATAAGGCTGGAAAATTAATGGCAGGCAAATCTGGAGAAGAGGACATTGAAGAATTTCCTGAAAAGTGCACAGATCATGAAGATATCTGTCTGACATAAATGCCCATGAGAGGGCATCCACTGCAGAGATGGATCTTGGTGGTATGGTAGATAAGATGACTCATCTAGTAGGTAATCAGTCAATCTCTTTTGCCAGCAGGCTTGCTCATTGAGCCTATGAGAAATTTAACATGGAAGCAGGGATGGAAACTATGAATGGGCTCAGCATTATGACATTTCTCTCACCAAGGTTAGCATGTGATTTGGCACTATTTCCAGGCGTCTGGCTGGACTAGTAGCATAGTGATTACTCTGGACTCCTTTGAGCATAGAGTAAGCAATGTTAGTCTTTATAGGGACAGAATAATATTGTGGGGACAGTTTTGTCTTCCATGCCCGAACCATTTACATAGTGAACAAAGCCTTAATCATCACCATGGCATCCCCTGCAATATCACCTGTAACCAGGAAACATATTTCACAGCAAAAGGGGTGTGGCAATAGAATTGCCCTTGGAATTCATGATTCATACTTCATACCTCAATATTCAGAAGCAGTGGGCTTGACTGAATGATGGAATGGGCTTTATTGAATGATGGAATGGCCTGCTGAAGGTTTAGTTATTGAAGCTGAGAAACAATACTGTGTAAATAAGCACTGCTTTCCTGCAGGCTGCAGTGTATGCCCTAAACCTGCAGTCACCGTAACCTGATACATGAGTCCAGAAACCAACAAGACATGAGAGTGTCTCGTACATGATGCATAATAATCCAGTTGAAGAATGTTGCTTCACTTCACTGAAAGTTTGGGTTTGGTGTGATGGTTCATTTTACATATCAACTTGGTTGGACTATGGTGCCCAGTTTTTGTTCAAACACAAGCCTCGGTGTTACTGTGAAGGTGTTTTTTTTTTTTTTTTTTTTTTTTTTTGATGCGATTAACATTTAAATCAGTAGACTTTTAGTAAAGCAGATTACCCTTTATAATGTGAGTGGGTCTCATCCCATCAGTTGAAAGCCTTAAGAGAAAAGACTGACCTGCTTCCAAAAAGAGGGAATTTTGCCTCCAGACTTTGAACTCAAGCTGCAACATCAACCTCTGTCAAAATTTACAGCCTGCTGGCTTGCCCTGCAAATTTCAGACTTGCCAGTTCCCTAAATTGTGTGAGCCTATTTCTTAACTCTCAATCTCTCTCACTCTTTTTTCTCTCTCTCCCCCTCAGGGTGTGTGTGTGTGTGTGTATTCTCTTTTACACATATTTTTGGTTCTGTTTCTCTGGAGAACCCTGACTAATACAGTGAATTGGAAGATCCTAGTACGAAAGGAAAGACTACTTTAATGACTACTTTCATATTATATACATATATATAATAAAATCAAAAACAGGAACTGCCACATGGTTTTGGTCTTCCCATGCCTTTGAATCATCAGGCAGAGAATGAGGTTACTCTATTGATAGAGGTGAACTCTAGTGATAGGTTACTCTATTGATAGAAGTTCTTTAACATCTGGAAAGACTAGCTGTTGTAAATTAGGACTCGTTTGTCCTTTAGATACACTGTATACATAGATAAGTAAAACAAAATGCACAATCATAAGAAACAATGGTGAATCTCGCCTCACTGTAAGCACACTGGCTTAGAGCTCTCTGCACCTCCCTTTTCCCCTCCTTCCCTG
Source organism: Homo sapiens (assembly GCF_000001405.40). NCBI lineage: Eukaryota > Metazoa > Chordata > Mammalia > Primates > Hominidae > Homo > Homo sapiens. The sequence goes on from NC_000001.11 coordinate 247,530,493, forward strand.
AACCAGTCCACAAACACCATGCCATCCCCCCCCCACAAAATAACATTTCCTATGAATTTTAACAAAAAGTTATTTACAAAATGTGTCATTTTACTACCTCTAATTTTAACATGTATCAGGTACTTCAGAACATCTAGAAGAAACAGACATCTCAAAAAAGCTTAGCGTTGTTACCTCTATATACAGAAGTAATAAAATGCACACAAAACAATGGATAGAATATGAAAATGTCTTGGAAATACGACCCGTCAGGACTAGGTAGGTCTCGCCCAACTGCGACAGAGCGGTCGCCCAGGACGTGGACCTGCCGGCCGCCTCTGGACCGCCTTCCTCGCCCTCCACAGCCTAACGGCCTCCGGGCGCATTTGGGCGGCGCCATGTTTCCTCCCCGCTTACCGCCGCCACCCGAAGGCGCTGAGTCCCGGCGGCTCGGCGCGGTCTTGGTCTGGGTCGGTGGGGTTGGGCCGGGAGACCCGCGGCCGGCGGGGTCCAGGCTGGGGGAGGCCGCCGCTGCCACCAGGTCCCCGAGGTAGGGTAGGAAGAGGTTCGCCGCGGCTTCAAGGCCTGGGCCGAGCGGGGGAGCCACAGCGAGGGTTCCGGAGCCTGCAAGGCGGAGTCCCGGGCTCAGCTCACCCCAGGCGCAGGCCTGAGGGCTGGGAGGGCTCCGGGGGCTCTGGGGAACAGGCCGGCTCCGGTCTCCCCGCGCGCTCTCAGCGTCGTCAAAGTTTATTATCCACGGAGCGTCCTGGAATCCACCCGCTTCGGATACTGAGGAACAGCTGAACAACAACGCAAGGAGTTTACAAAACAAGATGACAGTCAACATGTGTATATATAGCAAAAACCAACAACGCAATTGAACAAAACTATGATAATTAGCAAATAATAAATGTATTTTCTTGGTCTGGAAATGGCATGAGCACACTCCTTTCAGATTTCCATCTACCTTGAGCTCAAACAATATTAGAAGAAAAACGACATCCCAAGTGCCCTGTCTTCCAAGGTCACTTTGCTCGATGTAAACTTGATCTTCCTTCTCAGAAGGCACTGGAGTCTCTAAATTTGCGCCAGCTTGCCTGCAGAGCCACAGCAGTTCTCTAATACCATGTGCCGGAGGGCGCTCTTCACCTCCGTGTTCCTCAGGGTGTAAATAAGTGGGTTCAGCGCAGGAGTGACTACGGTGTAGAACAGAGCTATGAACTTGCCCTGCTCATGGGAGGTGCTCTTGGCTGGCTGGAGATACATGAAGATGATGCTCCCGTAAAACAGAGACACCACAGCCACGTGGGAAGAACAGGTGTTGAATGCCTTTCTCCGCCCTTCTGCTGACCTGATCTTCAACACGGCCCGGGCAATGTGGCCGTAAGAGACCAGGATGAGCCCCAGAGGCAGGACAACAAAGACAAAGCTGGCCAGGTACATCTCCATCTCATTGAGGCTGGTATCCACACAAGCCAGTTGCATAATGAGGGGCATCTCGCAAAAGAAGTGGTCGATGCAATTGTTCCCACACAGCGGTAGGAGCATGGTGAGCGTGGAGCCCACCATGCTGGTGGTCAGACCCCCCAGCCAGGAGGCCAAAGCTAGCCCAAGGCAAAGCTGTGGATGCATAATGACAGTGTAATGGAGTGGCCTGCAGATGGCAGCGTAGCGGTCATAGGACATGGTGGCCAGCAGGACACACTCGGTTGCCCCCAGCCAATGGGAGATATAGAACTGGACCACACACCCTCCATAGCTTATGGTTTTCTGTGGTCCCCAGAGGTTAGCCAGGAGCTGTGGGACAATGCTCGTGGTGAAGCTCATGTCCAGGAAGGGGAGGTTGGCAAGAAAGAAGTACATAGGTGTGTGGAGGTGCACATCTGTATGGGAGACCAGAATGATGATGCCATTGCCCAAGATCGATACCATGTAAAAACTCAAGACAACTATGAAGAGGACAGTTTCTAGTGAGGGTCGTGTGGAGAAGCCCAGGAGGACAAAGACTTCTGGAGAACTCACATTGGCTATTTCCATCATTGTATGCTGGGGGTGGGGCAAAAGGCCACCTGTGGGAAGAGCACAGGGCATACAGGGCATGAGACATGAAGCAATTACATCAGTTAGCAAACATTAAAAGTGTATTTTAGTTCATTTTATGTTATTCTTTTTTAGAGACACAATTTCACTGTGTTGCCCGGGCTAACTTCAAACTCTTGGGATCAAGCAATCCTCCCACCTCAACTTCCTTGGTAGGTTGAGAATACAGGCACGTACTACCATGTCTGGCTAAAAGTACATTTTATACCCATTGTTTTCAAAAGTAGCCACTCAACAGCTACGTGGATGGCATTGCATTACCTTCCTCACGGCCAACTTGGACTGTATAATAAAAGACTGGGTGGGGGGTGTTCACTGTCTGGGGAAAATGGACATTCATGCAAAATCCTTAGCACTGCTTTTTTAAAATGGAAATATTATAGTAACAACATCTATATGCAACCTAAATGTTTAGCAATAAAGGGTTAGTCAGGTAGAGGGTGGTCATTCATGTGATGAACCACTGTACAGGCATTAAAATTGTGCCCTCTCAAATTCCACAATCATCTGCAAGTTTTTGCTGTCGTTAACTATATCCAGTTTTTTATCCCTTCTCACCACCCCTGCTCCTGCCACTCTGGCCCATCTTGCCATCATTTATCATCTGAATTTTGATCTAATACTCTAACTCATCTCTCTGCTTCTCCTTTGCTCCCCTTCCAAGTACTCTCAAAAAAGTGTTGGGGCTCAGAAAATGATACCCCACCATGAAGGCTTCAGAAGCAAAAGTTTCTCTTTCTCCTGCCTTCTTGTCCGTGGCCCCTCATTCTTCCCCGCAGTTAGCCATAGAAATTAGAATCCCTCTTCCCCAAGGTGACACATAGAAACCAGAGCCCCTTTTCCTCAAAGCCAGCCATAAAACCTAAAAATGTTACTCTAACTTTCCCTCCACCTTTCTGTGTTAAAACTAGCCATAAATAAATTATCTGACCTACCTTACTGGATTGTAGATCATAAGACCTCCATTCCAGAGAGGTCTTATTGCATACCAAGAAAAAAGGAACACTGCTCAGAGAGGCCAAAAAGAATCTCACGATGGGTCTTGCTGGGCTTCTTCACTCAGTCCATCAGTATTAGATCATGCCCTTCATGTTCAATCATATTTCTACATGGCTGTCCATATGGCTTTGAACCTAAGCATAAAAATGGGAAGTTTCTCTTGTATCTTTGGATTCTCATCTGAAGGCTCCTCTGTTATGTAAAACTATGATCAAATAAATGTGTATGTCTTTTCTCCTATGAATCTGCCATTTGTCAGTTGATTTCTGTGAAATTTCAGAGGACAAAGGTGAAATTTTCCCTCACTCCTACGAAAGCAATCACAGGATTACATTAAGACATATGATCACATCAGTCTGCTGCTCAACACCCTCATTGTCTTGGTACAAGGCTTGCAGCTGCAGTTTGCTATACTTACAGTGCTTTCTCCCCAAGACATCCACACACCCCCTTCCTCACCTTCTTCAGGTCATTTTTGAAAAGTCACCTTCTGACTGAGGCCCTCCCTGACTGTGTTATATAATATTGAAAACCCTCACAACTCCCTTCTCTCTCTTTCCTGAATTATTTTTATATAAGGTGATAATCTTATAACAAATAAACTACTCTTATTTCTTTTGTTTGCTACCCGTCTCGCTCCACTAGATCATAAATTCCATGGAGCCATAGTTTTATCTTTTGTTTACCTCTGGGTCCCCAGTGTCTAACCCAGTGTCTGATACACAGTAGTCCCTTAATCAATATTCATGGACGTGCATCATGAAACAGGTTGCTAGAAAGGTTCTGTGGGGTGGAAGAGGCAGGACTAGAGTAATATGAAGGCAGAGTGGAAGGACTCAGCATAAACTTTCGGTAGTGTTGTCAGGAGAGAGCTCTTGGAACTGCCAGAGTCATGCAGAAGGGTCTGGACTATCCTCTGCTTTTGTACAGTTGGAATAAAACGAGCACGATTTAGCAGGGGCAGTGCATAAAGTCAGAAACTGGACAATTTCAGTGTGCTTCCGATGTCCCTGAAGACCTTTGGGGCCCTTCTTTGCAAAACATTAATTCTAGCCTGTATTTTAAAAAGGAGAATCAATTTATTATAGTTAAGATTCACCCAGATTAGGGGAACAGAGCAGCTGTGAACTTAACTATCAGCCTTCTTAAAATCCCAGAGAGTAGAATTTACCTATCCCTGTAACTGGAAGTCAATTAAACAAAATAGACATGAACAGACATGTGCATTCAGTTTTAAAAATACAGGTAGGTTTTCCATTGTGCATGTATAGAAATGAGGCTCAGAAAACTCTAGGCATTTGTTAAAATTCACACGTGGAAGCTGTCCCATTGTGGACTTACTGTGTCAGAATACTGAGACAATCATCTGGCCTGCATATAGTAGGCCAGGGAAGCATTAATACTATGGGAGAAGGCATCCTGGAGAATACATTCCAACCTCCTCCAAATCAGGGAGGCAAGCCGGGGGCGGTGGCTCATGCCTGTATTCCTAGCACTTTGGGAGGCTGAAGTGGGGGGAATCACTTGAGCTCAGGAGTTTGAGACCAGCTTGGGCAACATAGTGAGAGATTGTCTTTACAAAAAAATAAAATAAAATGACTGAGTGTGGCTGTGTGTGCCTGTAGTCTCAGCTACTTGGGAAGCTGAGGCTAGAGGATGGCTTCAACCCACGAGATCAAGGCTGTAATGAGGCATGATTGTGCTACTGCACTCCAGCCTGGGCAACAGAGCAAGACCCTGTCTCAAAACAACAACAAACAAACCAATCAGGGAGGTAGAGTTGAGACCTGTCAAAACGTGGATGTTTTCATCATGTGAATGTGAGAGAGAAAAGATGAACTGGGATTGGGAGAGTTAGGTACAACTGAGTCATGACAGTCAAAGTGGGTGTACTGTATATAGAGTCACCGCAGGTGAGCTGAAAAACAACAGGTTAAACTGACAACTGCATTATGACCCGTGGGTGTAAGTATATCCCATCTGTGGAAAGATAAAAATTTTGTTGACTCACAGTTGATAACATGCAGAAAATGTGTAAATGATGCTGAGAGGAACCACAAGGTCACTCATGAGGTAATAGTTTAGTAGAATTTTTGAGGAAAAAGAGATCTTTGTGGTGATCTGATCTACTTCTAGAAATGTTTAGTAACTTATCCAAAGCCCCTGGGCTGCTTAGTCATACTGGAGCTATACCCAAGATACTCAGATTCTTAGTACAAAAATAGCGTTTTCAGTAAAGGAAGAGGTTTGCTTACCCGCAGAGATTCACCAAAATTGTCACAATTAAAAACTCACTTTTCAAAATGCAACCCTATCCCAAACACTGTGCCATTAAGACAAAGATAGCATACTGAAAGTTAAGGAAACGTCTTGAGTTCAAATTTTGTCTGAGTTAACTAGGCAGTCACAAACTGTATCGCAGAACATAGGCAAGCTGCTAGAATATCAAAGGCCACATGAGGAAATCAGATCATTTAAACGGATCAGTGCTTATCAATTTTAACTGGAATTACCAGAAAGTCTGAGATCCAGTTTATCTTAAATACCATAAACAACAACAACAACAAACAAACGACAAAATTCAAAATGTCACTTACTAATGGTGAGCTAGCAGCATCATCTCTATTTATGCAGGGTGGAAATGTTGTAAAATGGGCAATATTTTATTAAAAAGACTGATAACATTCATGAATTCAATGCGTGTGGCATTAAAAAAATAGGAGTTTAGCCAGGGGATTTTAAAGCCCTGCAAATAGTGGAAATCTCTAAGTCGGTGGTAGCAGACGTGTTAGATTCTGTTCAAATTCATGTCTAAAGGACACATTATTAAGTATTTAAATCACAATGGGATTGAACTAGCAGAAAGCACTTAAAATACTTTGTAAGAAAATTGATAATCAAAGGAGTGAGAATGGCTCATGGTGTTTCCAGAATGAGAAAGTATATGCAGACCCTAAAGGGTGAAGTGTGACATAAAGTCCTTATAATTCTAAGACATTGATTGTAACCCCTGGAGCCTTCAGGAGGGAGCCTGAGGGTGATGGCATATATCAGGGGAGTAAAAGTGGAGGGAAAAAAGCTTTTGGGATTTCTTTCCCTATTGGATAATTATAACTTCATTGTATTACACACACAGAATTGTTTCTTTTTTATGACTGGAATATTATTTTAGTTTTTATACTGCCAAACTGCTTATGGAGCGTAAGAATCAAGTCTCTCTATCATGTAGTGAGGGAGATAGTCTGAGACATTTGCTCATTCTGTTAATTTTGATACATGCTGCTATAGACTCTTTTTTTAAAAAAACCATTGATTTTATTATTGGTGTATACATCAGTGATGAGATAATGTTTTTCTTAATAAGTTAAATTTATCAATTTATTTTTATTTTGGTAAAATACAGATAGCATATAAATTTATCATTGTAACTATTTTAAGTGTGCAAGTCAGTGGAATTAAGTTCTTTCACAAGACTGTACCATCACCTCTATCAAGCGTCAGAACTTTTTCATCACCTCAAATGGAAAACCTGTAGCCATCGAGCAGTCAGTCTTCATTTGCCAGCTCTCCCTAGCCCTGCCAGCCACTAATCTGCTTTCTCTATGTATGGATTTGCCTATTTTGGATATTACATATAAATGGACTTATATCATACATGTTATTGTGTCTGGTTTCTTTCATTTAACATGATATTTTCAAGGTTCATCTATGTTGTAGCGTGTATCAGTACTTCATTCTCTTTTAAAGAGGAATAATATTCCATTCTATGACTCTACCACCTTTTGTTTATTCATCTGTTGACAGACATTTGGGTTAGTTTGTTGATGAACATTTGAGTTGTTTCTACCTTTTGGCTATTGTGAATAGAGCTGCTATGAACATTCACATACAAGTTTTTGTTTGAACTCCGTTTCTGATTCTACTGGGTATACCTGGGAGTGGAATTGCTAGGTCTTATGGAAATTCTATGAACAACTTACTATTGAACCAGCAAACTTTTCTGCTGCAGCTAAACAGTCTTTACATTTCTACAAGCAATTTGTGTTCCAGTTTCTCCACATAATCACCAGCACTTGTTATTTTCCACTTTTTACAATCTTTTTTTTTTCCTTTATGGCCATCGTAGTGGATACAAAGTGGCATCTCATTGTGGTTTTGATTTGTGTTTCCCAGCAGCTAATAATGTTGTGCATTTTTTAATGTGCTTGTTGGCCACTTACTTGTCTTCTTTGGAAAAATGTCTATTCAAGTCTTTTGCCTATTTTTTGATTGGGTTGTTTGTCTTTTTGTAAGTGTTCCTTATATACTCTGAATATTATACCCTTATGAAATACATGATTTGCAAATATTTTCTCTCGCTCTGTATATTGTCTTTTAACTCTTTTGACAATGTCTTTTTGATGAACAAAAGTTTCTAATTTTGATGAAGACTAATTTATCTATTTTTTTTGTTGTTGTTTTTGGTTTTCATGTCATATTTAACAAAACAGTGAGACTTCCAAGGTCATGAAAATGTACTTCTATGATTACTTCTAAGAGTTTATAATTTTTTGCTCTTTCATTTAGGCTTTTGATGTATTTTGAGTTACGTTTTGTATATGCTGTAAGGTAGGGTCCAACTTCATTCTTTAGCAGGTGTCTATCCAGTTGTGTTGAACTGGATATATGTGTTGAAAGGATTACACTTTCTCTATTGACACCCTTGTCAAAAATCAAGTGACATAAACCCATAGACGTATGTTAGCTAGTATCTAGTCTAATGGGTCCAAATATGAACCGTATTCTGAAGACTCTCTGAATTATATTCCTGGCCAGCACCTCTATGCCAAACTTCAGATTCACATATCTAACTGCCTATACTACAGCTTCATTTGGATGGTGTTATGAACTGAATTGTGCCCTACACCCATTCATATGTTGAAACCATAACCCACAATGTGACTATATTTGGAGATAAGGCCCTTAAGGGGATAATTATGAGTAAATGAGTTTATAAGAGTGGCAGCCTAATGTCATAAGATTGGAATACTTATAAAAAGAGTAAGAAATACTAGCTATCTTCCCTCCCTGCCTACCCCAGTCTCTTTCTTTCCACACATGCACAGAGGAAAGGCCAGATGAGGACACAGCAAGCAGGCAGATGGCTGCGAGCTGGAAGGGAAGCGTCATCAGAAACCAACCCTGAGGGTACCTTGATCTTGGACTTCCAGTCTCCAGAACTGTGAGAAAATACATTTCTGTTGCCCGCCACCACCCAGTTTGTGGTGTTTTGTTATGATATCTCGACCTGCCTAATACAGATGGCTAATGCAAAGCTCCAGTGCAACACTTTAGAAAACGAACCCTGTTGTACACCTGACCTCCTCCAGCTGCAGTCTCCTCTTCTCAGTTGATGACAACTGAGAACTCTATTCTTCCATTTGCTTAGTCCAGAAGCTTGGAGTCCATGTGGTTCCAAACCCATGGCACCGTATGCCAATCACTGAAATGATGAGTTTTGTGGCAGAGAATGAGTTTATTTATGAGGGAGTCAAGTGAGAAAGCAGGAGAACAGGTCTCAAATCAGTCTCCCTGAAAATGGGATTTTAGGGATATTTATGGGATAGAGGAGTGAGGTGGTCCAAGGTGTAGGAAAATGTGATTGGGGTAGGAAAAAATGAGGTAATCAGTAATCTGCTCAAATATAGTCAAACTTCATGGCTCTTCATAGCACACATGTTCACAAAATGGTGTCATTAACATGATCTGAGGGTGGAGTTTTGGGCACTGTGACATCTAAAGGTCACCCATTGGATATTCACGCAGGTCCAGTTGGGGACCAGTGGTTTCAGCTAGCTTGAACTGGACAAGAGTTGACCCTCGTTCCTGAAAAGAACTTAAGCAATCGTTACCACAGTGATCTATACATGAGAGATGTTATCTCTGAGGAAACTGGTGGCAGTTTTATTTTTTTTTATTATATATTGCTTAGCTACGTGACCTTTAGCTATGAAAATCTTAAAATAAACTAGAAACAAGTGACCGACTAAAAGCAAGCGACTAAAGCCAGTGAGGCAAGTTAAGTCTGGGCCTAATCAGGGGAGCCCTCGGCCTCAAACATTGACCCCTCTCATTTCCACGACCTCTGTTCCTCACATATAATCTGTCAGCAAATCCTTTTGACTCTATTTTTAAAGATATCCAGATTACAATCATTTTTACAACGAATCACCCTGTCTCAGCTAGATTACTTGTATTAAAATCACAACGATTTTACTTGAAAACGCTTCACTGACTTCCTACCTGACTCTGTAAATACCCCATGTTGTTTCATAATCCATGAGTATCTACTGTCTGCGCCTTCCCCCTCCACACACATTACCTCTCTGATCCCACTTCCCACCACTTCTCCCATTCCTCCCTCTACTGTAGCCTCACAGGCTTCCTCGCTCCTCAAAAACGCCAGGCTCTCACTTGCCATGCTGCTTTTAGCTCTGCTGGTTCCTCTGCCTAGAATAGTCTCTCTCTCTCTCTCTTTTTGATACAGAGTCTCGCACTGTTGCCTGGGCTGAAGTGCAGTGGCCCAATCTCAGCTTACTGCAACCTCTGCCTCCCGGGATTACAGGCATGTGCTACCACGCCTGGGTAATTTTTTGTATTTTTAGTAGAGATGGGGTTTCACCATGTTGGCCAGGCTGGTCTCGAACTCCTGACTTCATCATCCACCTGCCTAAGCCTCCCAAAGTGCTGGGATTATAGGCTTGAGCCACCACGCCCAGCCAGTTTCCATCTCTTAACAAGTGCTTGGCTGAGGCCTCACATCTGTCCTTAACCTTCACCTCAGAGGCATTTTCCCTGATGGTGTTACTTCGAATTGTCAAACTTATCCTTTTCCCACTTCTGCTCTATTTCTCTCCGGAGCACTGTTCAGCACGTATTGAAGCATTCTACATGCTTATTTTTACTTATGTGTCTTGTTCTGTCAGAATAGAAGCTCATGAAGGCAGTGGTGTCTACTTTGTTTCTTCTGCATCCCCAGTTTCCGAGCATGGGCACGAAGATGCAGCTTAATAAAGGAGTGCTGATGTGTGAGCAGATGTATGAACTGAAGGTGGGGGCAGTGACCACTGTGGGGATGCAAGAGCAAGTGGGGGAGGGAGGCCTTACTTTATTGCAAACGAGCAAGCTTTCTGCAACGCGTCAGAAGGATTAGAAAGGATAAGACTGCACTCCGGGTTTTGCAGTTTCTCTTTTCTTTTCAATTCACGTAGAATACAATCACTCCACTACCAAATATTTGTCATTCATGCATTTCCTAAACTGTAACCACCTGCAAGGAAAAAAACTCAAGAGCCTTTGAGAAAGTTGTAATGTCTTGCATATCCTCATTTTTATATGTTCTCTATTTCTGTTTAGAAGGCATTGAGTTACTGAGTATTAAAAATAAAAGAAACTGCTGAAAAGAATTTTTTTCAAAAATGACACAAATATTCTTTTAAGTGACAGTTACACTACTCAAGCCTTTTATTTTTTCATCCAGACATTTCTTTACCCATTTGGTCATAGTTTTGTCTAAACCTATGCTGGTTTAAATTATAAATCCTGTGACTATTTTCTTGCAAAAGCTTTTTCAATTTTTTTTTTCCTATTGAAGCTATTAAAACAACAAGGAAATGCCTCTTGCTAGTTAGAGCAATGCATTGCTTATAATTAATGTCTTTTGGCAATTTCCCAGCAACTGAGCTTCTCAGAACTCAAGTTTCCATGGTATATCCTTGAGCAAAGCAGTAGGTTTGGCCTCCCATGTCATATGGATCACAGTTGGTGGGGTAGAATATTGAGAACTAATTCAGCTATTCATTATATGTCGGTATTTTCCGCACGGTCTCATCATGGCCTATATGGAGTACTCAGTCTCATCCCCAAATGGCTGAAACTGGGGTGCAGATGGAACCAAGGTGGAGCCCAAATAAAAAATCAGGTCTCCTGCACACAGAAAATGAATGGTGTTTTCAAATCAAACTACAAGTCAAAAAACACACAGACACTCCAAATTTGAGATGTTGGCCTGAAACCCGGCTGCTTCTTGAAATAGAAAAACCCTTAGGTGAGCAGTAATAGGGATTTCTATTTTTAAGAATGGCAGAGGACTCCTAGAAAAGATGGATAGAAAAACCTGGCTGAGCACAGTGGCTCACATCTGTAATCTCAGCACTTTGGGAAGCTGAGGTGGGCGGATCACTTGAGGTCAGGAGTTTGAGACTAGCCTGCCCAACATGGTGAAAACCTGTCTCTACAAAAAACACAAAAATTAGCCAGGCATGGTGGTGCGTGCCTGTAGTCCCAGCTACTCAGGAGGCTGAGGAGGGAGAATCGCTTGAACCCAGGAGGCAGAGGTTACAGTGAGCCGAGATTGTTCCACTGCAGTCCAGCCTGGGCAACAGAGTGAGACTCTGTCTCAAAAAAAAAGAAAAAAAAAAAAGGAAAAAGAAAAGATGAATAGACAAACTAATAACTAATAAATATGCTTTTTGTGTTTTCATACCGCAACTAATTTATTTTAGAAAAAATGCAAGCCAAGCTGGGCATTGTGGTGCATACCTGTAGTCCCAGCTACTGGGGAGGCTGAGGCAGGAGGATCATTTGAGCCCAGGAGTTCTAAGCTTTAGCATGCTCTGATCATGCCTGGGAATAGCCAGTTCATCTCAGCCAGGGCTACACAGTGAGACCTTGTCTTTTAAAAAAAGGAAGAAAGAAGTAAAAAGCAAAGAAAATGAAAGAAAATGTATGCCAGTATGATATTTTCAATGCAAAGTAACTCCTTGTAGAATACTGGTGGTCCAAGGAGCAGCATATGGAAAAGGTGGAAGGAAATAATTGCACAGAAAATCCCAAAGTGGATCATTCAGTTCTTGTAGGTATATTTTGTTCTAGACTTTGCATTTTTAAATGTACTTTGAGTGTCCAAATACCTCAAATAGAAGAGCGAATTGCTCTCTAGGTTTTGGGTTTATGCAAACCTGAAATTTTCAGTATCAATAAAATCTTTAAATTTTACTTGCTACATACTTCATGAAGGGAGATGTTGCTTGACATTTTAATTTTACCTAAACTAAGCCTGAAACAGGTTATTTTTTAAACTACAGTATCTAGTCACCCCTGTGATGTGAAAGCTCCTCTTCTACAAAGAATGTCATGAATTTAGCAAACAAGGGCTTCTAATTTAATGACTATTTGACTAGAATTATTAAAATTCTACTTAGTCCAAAATAAAATTACCAAGAAGAATATGTAAAATACGTAGGAAATAAAAAATAGAATTTGCCCCAGATAATCAGTGGAGGAGTAATTGTCTACAGTTAGTTGGCAGCAAGCTGCATGAGACCTGGTAGAAGACAGAGGATCTGTGTAGAGCTGTAGACCAGAATAATATGAGGAAGCACATATTCTGCAACCAAATATCTGTCCTTAGCTTCCCTAACTGCAGGATCTAATCAACAGCGGAGTCAGCAGGGAGCACCAAGCTGGCCTTACTCAGTCTCAGGGCTAGAATCAGTGCCCTTGAAAACAAGGCTAAAGAAATGCCCATCGTTTGGATATAATATAAGTAATTGTCTCTAGTACAGTATGTCTTTCAATTGGAAGCATAAGAACAAGATGTTCAAAGTTGTTATTAAGCATGTGTCAAAGCATTAGTTATTGATATATTAGTATTTATTGTTATGGTAGCCCCCCTTATCAGTTACCCACAGTGTACTACAATAAGGTATTTTGAGAGAGACAGAACACACATTCAAATAGCTTTTATTACAGTATATTGTTATAATTGTTCTATTTTTTATTATTAATCTCTTGCTGTGCCTAATTTATGAATTAAACTTTATCATAAGTATGTATAGGAAAAACATAGTATATACAGGGTTCCGTAGTATCCACGGTTTCAGGCATCCACTGAACTGGGAGGGTCTTGGAAATTATCCCCCATGGATAAGGCGGAACACTGTATTATAGTAATTATCGTGGACAAAGCAGAAAGTCAAAAGAGCTGGTTCTAAAAGCATTTGAATAATAGGGACTTATATGGAGTTACTCCAGAAACAAATACCCAAACTAAGATTACTAAATTATATATGAATTTATTTAACTTTCTACTTAAAATAAATCAAAACTACTTGCTTCTCTACCAGCCATAAGTTATTGGTAGTAACTTATCAATTTCTGCAGGTTAACCTCTAATCTTATTAAAAAAATTTTTTTAGAGACAGAGTCTCACTCTGTCACCCAGGCTGGAGTGCAGTGGCATGATCATAGCTCACTGCAGCTTCAAACTCCTGGGCTCAAGGGATCCTCTAATATCAGTCTCTGGAGTAGCTGGGACTGACTACAAGTGTGCGTCACCCTGGTTTAACTTCTAATTTTATGTGAACAAGAGAACCTTTATAAGTTGCTAATTCTTATGTCAAACAATTAAAACAATGGGCACCAGAGCATTGAAAAACAAGCTGAGTTGATCACTGATAAAGGATAGGACCACATGTCACTAAAAGAAACACACCAAGCAGGCTGCTGAATGAAAACTTCATGTGAGGTTGTAGAGAGAGAGCTCATGATGGCTGTGCTGATGAAAGGTCGAAATTTTGCATGCTTGGAAGGACAGAATTAGGCCACAGATCTGTAGACAGCTTGTTAAACCGAATTGTATCATTCATCAGTCAGGAAAACATTTTTAGTTAGGTCCTGATTCTAAAAGAGTTGGTAAATAAGACCTCTCCAAGTTTTTCAACACTATTAGCTTTGGGTTTTATATCCTTCGAAGTTTCTGTTCATATAACAGCTTCTGCCCGGCAGCTGCACGTAGGGAAACACAACTCTCAGCTGTGATATATTCAGGCAAGTGGTGTCATAAAGAGAAACCTTCCATTTAGATTTGCAAATATATTGTGACCACAAAGGTACATTCCCCACAAGTTCCACATGAGGATCAATTAGGCTAATGAGAAAATTCTTGTCTGGGCAGGGTGGCTCACACGTATAATCCCAGCACTTTGAGAGGTGGGTGGATCGCTTGAGCCCAGGAGTTCAAGACAACATGGCAAACATGGAAACATGGACAACAGGGCAAAACGCTGTCTCTACCAAAAAAAACAAAAACAATAATTATCTGGGCATGGTGGCATGCCCTGTAGTCCCAGCTACTCGGGAGCCCAAGGCAGGAGAATCACTTGAGCCTGGGAGGTTGAAGCTGCAGTGAGCAAAGATCACACGCTGCACTCCAGCCTGGGCAACAGAGCAGGACCTGTCTTAAAACAAAAACAAAACAAAACAAAAACAAAAAAGAACTTTTTTTAGTATGAAATAATAACAACAAATAACCAAGCAATCTTCATTTTGCCTTTTACCAAATTTGAGGTAATTTTTTTCTATCATACAACAAATACAACAAGATTTAAATGTAGTCAAGCAATGACATTGAAAACATTTGAAGCCAAATATCCCATTTGGTGAAATGCTAGCTTTTTCATTGGTTAATTCTCATCTTATTGGTCATTCCTTAAAAATGAAATAATTGAGTCAGATTTGAGAGTTTGTTTCTCTACCCTGTACTTAGGTAAGGAATTGGTTTTGGTTCCAATATTATCTGCAAATGAGCAGGGACTCGCTGTCAACAGGTATGCCCTGTTTCAGTGCACGTGCTTGGTCTGGCCCCATGCCTTGCAGGACTGACTGAGACAAGATCTCCTACTCCTCTGGTGGGCAACTCCTGTTGTAGATTTAATATTACAAATATGTACAATTTTTTATATAGGCAAATTTGCCAGCTAGTATTAACAATTATAAGCACTGTCAATAATACTGTCAGGATTTATTTGTAAGAATATTAACTGTAGCATTATTGCAACAGAAAAACTGGACATAACAACAAAAAAAGAACTGGTTGAAAACTATCATTATGATGATTATGCAAAGGGGTACTTTGCACCCATTAGTAATGATGTTAAGAAAATGTATTTAATCATAGTCATCCTAACAGGTATGAGAGCCCTCATCGTGGTTTTGATTCATATTTCCCTAATAATTAGTGATGTTGAGTATCTTTTCAAAGACCTCTTGGCCATTTGTATGTCTTCTTTGGAGAGGTGTCTATTCAGTACCTTTGCCCATTTTCAAAATTGGGTTATGTTTGTTTATTTAGTTATTTTTGCTATTGAGCTGTGTGAGTTCCTTAAATTTTTTGGTAATTAACCCCTTATTAAATATACGGTTTGCAAATATTTTCTCCCACTCCATAGGTTGCCTTTTCATTCTCATTGTTACAGCATAGTATCTCTAGTTAAACATAAGGTATTGTGTACTTAACAATTCGTCAAGAGTGTAGATCTCATGTTAATTGTTCTTACTACAAAAAGAAAAAAGAAAAAATCACGAAGAGCTACAAGGAAACTGTCGGAGATGATAGATATCTTTATTACCTTGACTGTGGTGATGGTAGCATAAATGTACGCATATGTCCAAACTCATCAAATTATGTACATTAATTATATTCACGTTCTTTTATATCAATATATCAACAAAGCTAGGAAAGAAAGAAATAAATTTTTGTTTGTTCGTTTTGTTTTGTTTTGTCTAATGATGGGACGGTTTCGCTCTGTTGCTCAGGCTGATGTGCAGTAGCTATTCACGGGCATGATCATTGCACACTACAGCTTCGAACTCCTGGGCTCAAGCAATCCTCCTGCTTCAGCCTCCCAAGTGGATGGGACTACAGGCACATGCTACCACACCTGGCTGAGAAAATGGTCTTTATTTTTTATTTATTTTTATTTTTTTGAGACGAGTCTCGCTCTGTCACCCAGGCTGGAGTGCAGTGGCGCGATCTCGGCTCACTGCAAACTCCGCCTTCCGGGTTCACGCCATTCTCCTGCCTCAGCCTCCCGAGTAGCTGGGACTACAGGTGCCCGCCACCACGCCTGGCTCATTTTTTGTATTTTTTTTAGTGGAGACAGGGTTTCACTGTGTTAGCCAGGATGGTCTCAATTTCCTGACCTCATGATCCACCCGCCTCGGCCTGCCAAAGTGCTGGGATGACAGGTGTGAGCCACCGCGCCCGGCTGAAAATGGTCTTTAAAACTGTATTTTATGGCATGATAACACTTATGTGCAAAGGATGATCCTATTTTTGGAAACTTTTAAATCAATGGGTGCATGTTTGTTTTCACAAAGCAAGGATGATAAATGTGTGCACCAGAATTCACAAGGGGGCTGGATGTGGTGGCTCAAGCCTGTAATCCCAGCACTTTGGGAGGCCAAGGCAGGAGGATCGCTTCAACTCAGGAGTTTGAGACCAGCCTGGGCAACGTAACAAGACCTTTTCTCTACTAAAATTAAAAAAAAAAAAAAAAAAGATTAGCCTAGTGTGATGGCACACACCTGTGTTCCCAGCTACTTGGGGGATGAGGAGGGAGGATCGCTTGAGTCTGGGAGGTACAGGCTGCAGCTGAGCCCTGATCATGCCATTGTACTCCAGCCTGGGCAACAGAACAAGACCCTGTCTCAAAGACAAAAACAAACAAACAAAAAAGCACAAGAAGGTAGTTGAGGGTAGTAGGATTCTGGGTTATTTAAATATTTTATTTTTTCTTATTTGTACTTAATTTTCTACATGGCATTGAGAACTTAAATCAAGTTGAATATTGTGCATGTCTTTGTTCTCAAACAGCAGCCATGGCCATAATAATGGCAGGATACCTACGGCTTACTGAGACTCCCTTTCACGTAGCTCCTATCCATTCTGCAGATGGAGAACGTGAGTTCCAGGAGATTTGTTTACCAGACCAATTTATGCTAGGATGGGACAGAATGGGAGTTAGAGGTGCTGAAAAGATGGAAACCTTTCGTGTTACCACATTTCTGTCATTCGGTGACTAAAAACTAACATGGAGCTACTTACTTGAGCATTTGAGGATTAATGAGCTTATTTGTGAGTAATCAGATAAGAGAAACAAAGATTTATTTCAGTAGCTCTCAAATTTTAGTAGGGAACAGGAGGAATCCACCCCTGAGAGTTTCTGATTCAGCAGGTTTTAGGTGGATCTTGAGAGTTTGCATTTCTAATAAGTTCTCAGAGATGCCGGTGTTTCTGGTCAAGGACAGCAATGGCGGAACACGCTTCTTAGTGCCTTTACCGCTCCATGGATTGGCTGGAGTGGC